>NC_000022.11:38103503-38255018 GCF_000001405.40 Homo sapiens
CAAGTAGCAGATAAGCCTGGAACCTCTTGTCAGGCAGATAGCAAGGACTCAGGAGGCAGATTAAAGAGGCTTCCAATGGCCAGGTGCAGTGGCTCACACCTATAATCCCAGAACTTTGGGAGGCTAAACTGGGCAGATCATCTGAGGTTAGGAGTTCGAGATCAGCCTGGCCAACAAGGTGAAACCCCGTCTCTACTAAAAATATGAACATTAGCTAGATGCAGTGTTGCATACCTGTAGTCCCAGCTACATGGGAGGCTGAGGCTGGAGAATTGCTTGAACCTGGGAGGCGGACGTTGCAGTGAGCCGAGATTGCATCACTGTACTCCAGCCTCGGTGACAGGGTGAGACTCCATGTCAAAAAAAAAAAAAAAAGAAGCTTCCACTGGCCAAAAATAGGACATTTTCAACTTCAGTAAACGTAATAATTGCCAACCATTGAAATAGGTCAAATGAGTTTAAATCTACGATATTGATTATAGTAAATAAAAGTACTACATAATGGTGTTAGTAAAAACATAAAGTTAATTGGTGGCTTCACCTTCAGAGGATGACAGGGCACAAATTCATTATCTTGGAACCTGATGAATAAAGGGAATGAATGAAACCTTTCTCCTGCCCTCTCCATATGAAACGTGCCAGTGGGTAATAATAGCAGATAAGGGGAAGGGTCTCTTTCTGGAAGCATCCTAGCTAAGAATGCTTTGAAAAGGCATGGGAGGAACAGTGGTGTGTATCCCCGGATGCATGGCAGATCTAGACACAGTGATGCCTCCTGGTGGAAGAACTCAGTAGCCCCTCTGGTCTTGCCAAGGGCAAGGCTCCGGATCCAGAGGACAGAGAAACCAGCTGAACATACTAGGAGAGCATCCTCAGCAACTTCCAGACTATGGGAAAGTCAGAGCAGATGGTCCCAGGGTCTCCAACAGACAAAGTGTAAGGAAAAGAAACAGACGGAAGGGGAACCCGGAGGTTCGAAGAGACTCAAATTTCTTTTTTTTTTTTTTTTTGAGACGGAGTATTGCTCTGTCGCCCAGGCTGGAGTGCAGTGGCGCGATCTCGGCTCACTGCAAGCTCCGCCTCCCGGGTTCACGCCATTCTCCTGCCTCAGCCTCCCGAGTAGCTGGGACTACAGGCGCCCACCACCATGCCCGGCTAATTGTTTTGTATTTTTAGTAAAGATGGGGTCTCACCGTGTTAGCCAGGATGGTCTTGATTTCCTGACCTCGTGATCCGCCTGCCTTGGCCTCCCAAAGTGCTGGGATTACAGGCGTGAGCCACCACACCCAGCCAAAAATTTTTTTTTTTTTAAGAGTGAAACCAAATTCTAGTGTCTCAGGCTGTAAGGTAGAGTGATAAACCACGAAGGCACACAAGGAAATGCGACCTCAGACCAGCGGCCGCTTTTAGAGGGAGGGAGAGGCTGTGGTTTTGATGGGGGCACCTGAAGGGGTTTCTGGGGAGGCTGGCAAAGTTCTGCATGGTAGTTTCAGGTCTGGTTTGCCTAATAATGATTCATTACGCTCTAATCTGTTCAGCAAGATTTTCTGTGCCTGTGTTTTAGTTTACAATAACAAACATTTTTTAAAACATTCTAAGTCAGATCCTGTCCCTCCTTGGCTCAAGACCCTCCGAAGGTGTCCCTTTCACTGAGAGGAAGGGCCAGAGTCCCGCCAGGGCCTGCAGAGTCAGGACCTGTTAATGGCTGGTCATCTGAGACTTGCCCTCTACTGCAGCCTTCGGTCTTTCCACAAGCTGTCCTTTCTGTCCAGATTGCCCTTCCCCCAGATGTATTCCTGGCTAATGCCCTTACCTCCTTCAGCCCTTTTTCTTTTCTTTTTTTTTTTTTTTTTTTTGAGACAGAGTCTCACCGTCACCCAGGCTGGAGTGCTGTGGTGCGATCTCTGCTCACTGCAACCTCCGCTTCCCAGGTTCAAGCGATTCTCCTGCCTCAGCCTCCCGAGTAGCTGGGATTACAGGCGCCCGCCACCACATGCGCGGCTAATTTTTTGTATTTTTAGTAGAGACAAGGTTTCACCATGTTGGCCAGGTTAGTCTCGAACTCCTGACCTCAGGTGATCCGCCCACCTCGGCCTCCCAAAGTGCTGGGATTACAAGCGTGAGCCACTGCGCCGGGACCTTTAGGCCTTTTTCAGTGTCACCTCGTCTGTTAAAAACTGCACCCCCCAAAGACATCCCCTCCCTGCTCTACTTTTCTCCTAGTGTATTTTGCATGGAACGTGTTACGTATCGATTCACTTACTCACTGTGGGTTTTTCTGGCTCCCTCTTTGGCATGGCAGGGGTTTTTGTCTGCTGTATTCCCGCGGCCTACCACAGTGCCTGGCACAGGGCAGTCAGTAGGGATCAAATAAATGAGCTGCAGGTGGGGGTGGCCTCTGGCACTGTTCTGTCTGGTATGATTCTGGCCAGTGGACCTGCCCAGTTATCACAGCTGAGATGCCACTGCCTGGAGAGGACAGCTCTCCTTACAGAGTGGGCCTGGGTGACACTCATCCCTGCCCAGCCCAGGTGTGCCACAAGTGACAAGGACAGCCATTGAACACAAGGACAGGAACCCACAGGCTCCATAACTCCGTGCCCACATCCAAGGGGGTGGCAGGGGCTTAATGCTACATCCTAAAGTGCCCAAGGAGTCCACGGAGCCCAGGGGCCTTGGGGCCTTGTTGTGTGTGCGTGGGATGTGCATTTACTAATAGAAAGATTGTTCCCCCGCCAGGCGCGGTGGCTCACGGCTGTAATCCCAGCACTTTGGGAGGCCGAGGCGGGCAGATCACTTGAGGTCAGGAGTTCAAGACCAGCCTGGCCAACATGGTGAAACCCCGTCTCTGCAAAAAAATAAAAAAATTAGCCAGGCATGATGACAGGTGCCTGTAATCCCAGCCGCTCGGGAGGCTGAGGCAGGGGAATGGCATGAACCCAGGAGGCGGAGGTTGCAGTGAGCTGAGATTGTGACACTGCACTCCAGCCTGGACGACAGAGCAAGACTCCGTCTCAAAAAAATTAAAAAAAAAAAAAAAAAAAAGATTGTTCCCCATGCCCAACTGACTAGTATTTTATGGTATCCCCCAAAGAGCACCCTGACTTCCAGGGGCTCCCCTTCACACATTGGAGGGAGAACAATTAGTTAAAATTTCCTTCCGAACCTTCCCACTTGCCTCACCACCAGGCCCCACCCCACCTCTCCCACTCAGCCCCTGCGCCCAAGCCCTGGCTCATGCCTGCCTGC
The DNA here is from genome assembly GCF_000001405.40 of Homo sapiens. Taxonomy (NCBI): domain Eukaryota; kingdom Metazoa; phylum Chordata; class Mammalia; order Primates; family Hominidae; genus Homo; species Homo sapiens. The sequence continues at coordinate 38,106,753 of NC_000022.11, forward strand.
TGCCCGCTCATGGCTGTGCGCAGCCCGCTGCCATGCTCCCTTGGAAAGCCCTCTCTTCTCTCCATCTAGCCAAGCTGACTCCCTCAGCTCTTTTCTTTCCCCTGTGTCACTGAAGCCCTGCTTGGCGGAAGGCCCTGGAGCTACGGAGAGGAAGGAAGGCTCTGCGGCGCTCCCAGTCTTGGGAGGGATAGGGGCAGGTGAGTTAACTTCTGGTTATCATAGCTAAGGTATCCAGGGGCAGTAAGTAGGGGCCAGGGCAAACGGTTTATGCTTATTAATTCACGTCATCCTCTCAAGAACCCTGGGAGGCAGTTATTATGATTCTCTCCATTCCTCAGATAGGTAAGTGGAGGCATAGAGTCCAAGGTCACAAAACTAGTCACTGGTGAAGCTGGGCTTTGAACCCACCACGAGCTAAGAACGGACAGAATCATCTGTTGGAGTCCAGGGGGAGGGGTGACTGGACTTGCCCCAGGGAGTCAGAGGAGGCTTTGGGAAGGAGGGGACAGCTGCTTCCCAACTGGACGGCAGGGGGAGGGACCGGTGGCTCTAGGCTGAGAGGACAGCAGGACAGCAGCCCCGCAGCGGGGACACCAGCAGAGGGCCCACTCTTCCGGGGGGCTGGGCTGTGTTGGGGGTGTCAGGAGAAGCTGCTGGATCGACAGAGCCAGGGACCCCTCACTGAGAAGCCTGTGTTCAGTTCTACGGGCAGTGGGGCCGTGGAACGGTTCTGCTCCTGGGAGTGACATGGTCAGGTCCATGTGGCTGCTCCCTGGGAGGCTGCAGTGAGGAGGGCTGCAGTGAAAGGACCTTTCTCTTCCTTGGGCCTCCATTCACTCTGGCATCTCAGGCAATGACTAGCTCTTTGAGACTCAGTTTCTTCCTCTATAAAATGGAGGCAGAAATGCCACCAGCCTCCTAGGGCTGCTAGAGGCTTGAACGACTATTGCAGGGAACCGTGCCCCACAGAGCCGGGTGCTGGGAAGGGCAGCCACGGTCATCCTCCCTGGGAAGGGCATCTGGTAGGCTGGGCCCTCTCCTTGGAACATAGCCCACTTTCCTCGAGTGACCCCTCCAGGCCCTGGGGCCTGATACTCACCACCACCTCCAGGTCAGAGTTCAAGTGCCGCTGGGTGTCAGACATCTGCACCAAGATCTCCCCTGGAGGCATGGATGCAGCTGTGGCTTTGGTGTGTGGCAGCCTGCCCCGCCCACCCACCACCCTCTTCCGCTGAAAGCCAACAGAGGGCCTGCCCGAGACTGGATTTTGGGACCAAAGTCCGGGAACTTCCCATATGGTTCTCTGGGAGCCAGGCCATGTGTGTCCCAGCCTGGGAGCAGCCCGGCAGGGAGTGGTGGCGGGGAGCCTGGGCCCCAGAACAAGAGTCTGGCTCTGGGCCCTGGGCTGAAAGGCCTGTGTCAGGGACTCGGGACATCCTGGAAGGGCAAGGGTGCAAAAGGAGGGCCCAAGAATGGGGTCTGCTGTGGAGGGGGAGCCTCACCCAGAATCTGTGAGGTGGGGCTCTGCAGGGCACGCTCCCCAATCTTCTGGATGGCACTGAAGTAGACCTCGGCCGCCTCGGACAGAGCTGTGGACCAGAAGGGACAGGTCTGGTCCAGCCCTGCCTCTGCCCCACCCTTCTGGAGGCTCTTTTCATCTGGAGGGGACTGTGTCTGTCCTGGGTGGGGTGTGGGCATCTGTGTGTGCCCCTGAGGAGGGTGTGACCAGTTGAGCTGTGAAACTCAGGTGCAGGGGCATAAGGTGAGGGCTGGGGGCAGGGAGGTGGCGTGGAAAGCATCTAAGAAGCAGGGGGATGGGAGGCCCTGAGGTTCAGGGTTGATCAGCACTGGTGGGTAGTGGGGTGCTATTGGCAGGTATGAGCGGCCACAGCGGACGGGTACAAGGGTTTGCACGGGGACCGAGTGAATGTCAAGGCCAGCTGCAGGGTGTGTGGGTGGTGGCCAGTTGAAGTGAGGAAGCCAGCTGCTGTGTGAGCCTGGGTGCAGAGGTGGGACTGAGTATAGGGGTGGGTTCAGCTGGTGGCATCCAGGTGACGCCTAGAAATGTATGCACTGTCAGGGGCTGCCCTGGGGCTGTGTGGGCCTGCAGGGCCTGGTACTGCATCATGGGAGTGTCTGGAGGCACCTGAAGGAGGGGGCAATGAGGGGTGCTGGGTGTGGACTGGGGTGCGTGGGCACAGGAGAGTGGGGGTGCATAAGGCCTCTCTGGCTGCAGAGGTGTGAGGGTGAGGGTGGTGGGTAGGAGGGTGTAGGGTTGAGGATGAACAGGTGTGGGATGCAGAGAATCTGGGAGGGGCCTGGGTGGGTGGGAACAGCAGAGGCCCAGGGCTGGGGCTCGGTGGCCCGGGCAGGCACTCACCGTGGAAGGCACGCAGGTAGTTGTTGCCCAGGTACACCAGGTTCTCCAGGGCGGGGTTAAACTGCTCCATGATGCTCTGGACCCCAGGGTCAGGGGAGGAAAAAGGTGTAGAGATGGGGGAGCGAGAAGGAACCACGGATGGAGTCAAGTCACCAGGCGTCAGGGACAGGGCACCCCCAGCCCAGTGAGAAGCCCCAGACTTTGGGGGGCCCATCTACAAACCTAGGCTCACCCAGAATCCTGGCTCTTGGCTGCAGGGACCTCAGAGCCCATCTTTTGGGGTCCTGTTCTAAGCTGTGGTCCCCTCACAGCCAGCTCCCGCTTACGTCTGCTCTGGCGGGACCGAGGTGCCTCCCGAGATGGTGCACCTGGAAGGTTCTCCTCCTCCCGCTGGGCAGAAGCTGGCCCGCCTGCTGTGGTCCCCACTGGGCACGGCTCAGCCCTGCCCTGTGTCCAGGCCTTGCCGGGCTACACGCCTGGGGCTGCCAACAGTCACCCCCGGGGCAAGGGCAGCTCTCGCCCTCCTCCGAGAACAGCCCCCCATGGGCAAGGCTGTGGCTGGATTAGTGTGGGCCTCCTCGGGCTGGGGCCGGGCAGAGAGCTCCCCGGATGGTGAAGACGGGCCTGGACTTGGGCCTGGACTTGGACTTGGGTCTCGGTTCAAATCCCAGCAGCACCTCTTCCTCCCTCCGTGACCTTGAATGAGCTGTTTAACCTCTTTGGTCTCAGTTTTCTCATCTATCAAGCAGGGTGGTCATTTTCCACCTCACAGGTGGGTGGTGTGAGGCCTCCAGGTGAAAGGGTCCTGCACACAGGAGGCGCTCAATAAATGTCTGTGGCGGCTGCAACAACCCCCCGGGGGTGAAGTAGGAAGTCTGAGGGGCTCAGAAATGAGAGAGACAGAGACAGGGAGAGACAGAGAGAGAGAGAGAGACAGAGAGAGAGAGAGACAGAGAGAGAGAGAGACAGAGAGAGGGAGAGAGAGAGGGAGAGAGAGAGAGAGAGAGAGAGAGAGAGGGAGAGACAGAGAGAGAGAGGGAGGGTCTTTCTTTATTCCCAGGCCGGGCAGCCAGGCCCTTCTCATCCAGACTCAACTCTCCCCACCCTGGGCCTTGGGCTCCCTCCTGCCTTGTCCAGCATCTGGGAGTTGGGGGTTCCCGCTGTATGGCTGAGTGCTCTCGGGGATCCTTACCCCCGTACCCACCCCTGGCCCAGCCTGGCTCCAGGCTTCCCTTTCCAGGACATCTGTAGCCCCGGCTGGCCCTCCGTCCTCCAGAGCGGGCCTGATTTCTGTGCCCTGGGAGGAGGGGCTCAGGCCTGGCTTGGCCACCCATGTGCTCACCTTGTAGATGGCCATGGTGGACCTGTAGAACTGGTCCATCTCGGGGGCCATGGAGGGGCTGTCCCGGGTCTGAGCAGGAGGCTGGGAGCTGGTGGCGATGGCACAGCCGGGAGCAGTGGTAGGTAGTCCCTCAGGTGCCCACGACTCAGCTGGCAGCGAGGAAGCCTCGGAGAGGGACCTGGAGATGGAGGCCTGCCTCAGAGGAGTGGCAGCTTAATTATTCACCAACTCGGGATGTCAGAATGTGATCTGGGGCGTAACCAGATCCGGCAGGGAAGGCATCCTGTGCCGGGCAGGCTCGTGTGACCTGCCCTTCAATTATTCACCCCTTGGAGCTGTGGGCTGATACAAGTGCCCATGTGGATGAGCCCCCTCCTGGGTCACCCCCTCCTCAAGGACCCCAACCCTGGGGGGCCCCGCCCTCCCACCTGCCTATACCAGGCATTGCCCACCTTACTGGGCGGGCGCTGCCCGATGCCCTCCCCCAGGACTCTCTCTGCCAGACCCAGCAGCAGCAGCCCCTGGAGGGGAACGCCGCTTTACTTCTCACTGTCCTCAGGCCTGCGGCTCACAGTGGGGCCACGCCCTCTGAGCTTGGCTCCCACAGCCGCTCTGGCCCGCCCAGCTCCTCCACTTGCCGGAGCAGGAGCAGCACAAACGCTGGAGTTGCCCAGCCCTGGGCAGACCTCGGCCCTGCACACGCGCTGCCTGTCCACGCGGAGTCCCCGGCCTCTCTGGGTGACAAATGGGGCTCTCCCTGGTCCTCCAAGATGAAGTTGAAGATTGTGGCCCTCCTTGGGCCTGCCGGGGGTATGTGGGCCTGGCAGCTGCCTCTGCATACCCTAAGGGCCGGTTTAGGGGAGGCCTAGAGGAAAGAGGAGGTGTCCCTGCCCAGGGATCCTGGAAAACAGAGTGTCCGGGTACAAAGGAAAAGTCCGGTCAAGGCCAAGGGTCAAGGCCGAGGGGAGCCGGGGGTCAGGGGAACAGGTGGATCTCACACCACTGCACACACAACACAGGTGAACTTGAATCCAAATGATTTATTTCAGTTTTGGCTCTTAAGCCACTTCCATTGGGAAGAAGAAACTCCCAGGAGTGACCTTTGAGAGCTGAGGGTTCTCGGGGTGGGGCAGTGTGAGGGGCTGGGCCAGTGTGAGGGGCAAAGTCCAACGGGCATCCCACTCCTGCGGCCTGGGCTTTCCCAGCTGATGGGGTGGGGGACACCCATTTCTTTAGTCCCAGCCCCCAGGGAACGGAGCAGAGGGCAGAGGGAGTGGGCTGCACCCACCAGGAAGCCTGGGAGTGCCCTTGCTGGGGGCTGGGGCAGAGGCAGCCCGGCAGGCCCTCAGGGAGGCTGGGGCTGGGGGCAGGGGTACGGTTGTGCCCGGGTACCCTTAATGTTTGAGCTGATGGGGGAGTCAGTTGTCCTTGACAGTCAGGGAAAGGGGCCAAAGGGGGCTCTAGACTTTCCCAGCCTGGAATGACAGAAAGTGCTGGAAGGCGGGGTTAGTGGGAGACAGGCCTTCAGGACCAGCCTCGGGCAGGCAGCTTGGCATTCTCCCAGGCCTGGTCTATGGACTCAGAGGTGCCTGGGCCCAGATCTGCCCGGGAGGGCAGTGGCTGGGCTTGGCCTGGCAGGGGCTGAATGGACGAGGTCAGCTGGGGCCGGTGAGAGGCTGGGGACCCTCAGGGTGAGAGCAGCAGCTGGATGAGCTTCTGGAACTCCTCGCGGTGCTCATAGATGTAGACCTCGGTCTCCCAGAGGGCGTTGACCAGCACTGTGTCACTGACCTCATCCAGCATGATGTCCGTCCCCAGCTGGGGGTTCAATCTGTTCGGGCCAGGGAGGAGGGGGTCACCCTAGGATGCTCAGGCTGGGCAGGGGACGCCAGCTAGGACCAGGGTGGGCTTGGGGAACAGAGCAGACCCTTGGGGAAGGGAAAGTCCACACTAGGGCTGGGAGGGGAAGGTCGGTGAGTCCGACCACGCCAGGGCACGGGGCCAAGGGCTGGGGCGGCTGAGCCCTCACCTGAAGTACTGGATGCCGACCATCTCGCACCAGGCCCGTGCCCGGTCCACAGCCCGCCCGTCTGGATCCGTGCACTGGTGAGAAGCAGCCTTGGTGAGTGCCGGGCCCACACCCCGCCCGGCCCGCACCCCGCCCGGCCCTGCCCTGCACTCTCGGAGCCCCAGCCTGGGGAGCCCCAGGCTCTTTCGAGTCAGGCTGAGCCACACAGCAGCAGAGCGGCTCGGGCAAAACCCCTTCCTGGGACTGCAGGGACTGTCCCAGCTGTGCAATCAGAGGGGCAGAGGTCTCAGCAGTGCCCTTTCAGGGATGATGAGTGGGGGAAAGGGTAGCGGCTGAGTCGACAGGCCTCCATGTCCCCTCTCCCTGAAGTTTCCCTCCCTCCCTCCTCTCTCTCTCTCTCTCTCTTTCTTTCTTTCTTTTTGAGACAAGGTCTCCTTCTGTTGCTCAGGCTGGAGTGCAGTGGCATGATCACAGCTCACTGCAGCCTCTGCCTCTTGGGCTTAAGCAATCCTCCCACCTCAGCCTCCTGAGTAGCTGGGACCACAGGCACACACCACCATGTCCAGCTAGTTTTTAATTTTTTGGTAGAGACAAAGTCTCATTATATTGCTCAGGCTGGTCTCAAACTGCTGTGCTCAAGTGGTCCGCCTGCCTTGGCCTCCCAAAGTGCTGGGATTACAGGGTGAGCGCCCAGCCCGCTCTGGAGCCTTTGTCCATTCTGGGCTTCTACACTGCGCTATGTTTGCAGAAAGGGATCCGCAGCTAAAAAGCGTTTGAAAACCCCCCTGCTGGTGGTCACTGAGGGTCCCTGCCCCGCACTGAGACTCTGAACTGTGGACTCTCTCTCCCTCCAGCTGGCTAAAGGCGATGGACAGAGCCCTGCTGTCTCCTCCAACACCAAAGGCCCCACAGGATGAGGGGAAGCCATCGACCTGGGCTACAGACCCTGAGGGAAGTGGCCTGGGGGAGGGGCCCACACTCACACAGTCCACCACCATCTTGCCCAGTTCCTTGGCCCCAAAAACAGTCTTGGCCAGCTCCCAGGGGTTGCTGGGACGGAAGACATCCACACAGGTCACAGGCACTTGTGGGGACCTCCCTGTCCCCAGGGAGACAACGATGGAGAGTTTCTTCACCTTGTTGGCCTGACCCTGTTGGGAACAGGACAGGGGCAGTCAGAAGAGACCTTCCACAGGTAGGGGGCACGAAGGGGAGCGTCAAGGGGAGGCCCAAGACTGGGCTCTGGGGCACATGAGAACAGGGCAAGAGGTCTCTGGTGGCAAGAGCATGCCTGGCATGATTTCCAGCCAGCCTCTTGCACGTGACCCCAGAACGGCTGGTGCGGGCATCACATGCCATCTGCTCAGGACAGCATCTGTGTACCAACAGGACCACACATACACCAGCTGCAAGAAGGATCCCGCCCACCCCATCTGATGCTGGCCCAAGTCAAGTCGTGGCCAGGGGAGGAAAGGCAGACGGTGTTCCTTGGTGTTGGTGATTTGCCAGGTATTTGCATCATTACTTCATTTAATCTCCAGCCAGTCTGTGGAGAGGGCACTGATCACCCAGTTTGCAAATGAGGGCTCTCAGCGAAGCTCAGGCCGGGAAGCAGCTGCAGGGGCCACGTGGTAGGGAAGTAGGGGCTAAGGCTTGAACCTGAGCCCTGGGTGCTGCCTTTTTTTTTTTTTTTTTGAGACGGAGTCTCGCTCTGTCTCCCAGTCTGGAGTGCAGTGGCGCGATCTCGGCTCACTGCAAGCTCCGCCTCCTGGGTTCACACCATTCTCCTGCCTCAGCATCCCGAGTAGCTGGGACTACAGGCTCCTGCCACTATGCCCGCCTGGCTAATTTTTTTGTATTTTTAGTAGAGACAGGGTTTCACCGTGTTAGCCAGGATGGTCTCGATCTCCTGACCTCATGATCCACTTGCCTCGGCCTCCCAAAGTGCTGGGATTACAGGCGTGAGCCGCTGCGCCCGGCCGCTGCCTCTCTTATTTGCTTCCGAACAAGCTCTGCTGCCGATTTGCTGGATGATCTTGGGTGATGCCTCCCACTCTGGGTCCCAGGCTCCCCATCCGCACGCAATAGGAGAGTTAGACTGGCTAGTGTCTGACAGTCTGACGGTCTCTGCCGCCTGCAGGAAGCCCGCCCTGCCCGATCTGGCCCCTAGAGGGCGCTTCTCTGTCTGCCCAGAGCCTCTGCTGCGCTGCCCAGGACGCCCTGGGGCTTCGGGAAACCACAGCAGCAAGGATGCAGCTCAGGCTCCCGGCAGTGCTGTGAACATTTCACAGACAACAGCATGCCAAGGCCTCGCAGCCTCCCCAGGCAGGCGCTATGATGGCCCCATTAGGTAGCTGCAGTGAGTGCAGGCAGAACGGGGACCCCCAGAGGCGCCCTGGCTCCAGGGTCTGAGCTCAGCCACCGCGCTCGCCCACCCCGGTCACCCACCGCCCGCCACGCCACAGGGCCTCCCCTAGCATGCTGGGTCCTGCCAGCCTCTGCTGTACCTCTGCAGAGAGAGGGCTGCTGCTCTTCCTCCAGATCACTGATTCTGCACTGCTCTGTCCCCAAGGGCCTCAGGATGGGTCCCCTGTTCCATGGAGCCCTTTCCGAGCCCCCAGGCCTTTTAGCAGAGGCCTCACGGTCCTCCACCACAGCACCGGCAACCCGTGGGGACAGGCATTCCTGTGGGACTGTCTATCCACAGAGGTGAGCTCAAGGGCAAGCATGTGTCCTGTCCCCAGGCTGGCTCGAGTGGCACGTTCATGGTATGCATGCCGCCCTCCCCACTCATGCACACTTAGAGCACAGTGGTCCTCAGATCCCCCTTAGCACAGTGCTTCAGGCAGATCCCACCCATGGAACAGGTTCCAGTGAGATCAATTTGCCCTGTGTGCACATATGAATGAGTGCGTGTGTAAAAGCCACCTGCTGTCCTGGGGGTCGGTCCCTAGCATGGTTTGCTGACACAGGATTGGCTCCAGGGAGCAGTGGGTCCAGGCCCTCTGGCCTACGGCACTCACCTTGCGGATCAGGTCCTGATTGTACTCATGGATCTCGGTCATGGCATCCAGCGTGGGGTTGTTGGCCAGCAGCCCACCGTCCAGGAAGCGCCCATTGGGTCGGAAGTAAGTAGGAGCTGCCCCGCTGCTTCGGGCCGCCCGCCACACCAGCTGGTCTAGGGGCGGGGAAGGAGGGCGGCCCAGTGGCACAAGGGACTGGCATAAAACCCATGCACTCCAGATCTCAGGGTGTGCGTGTTGGGGGCTGGGGGTGCGGGAAGAGGGGAGGCTGGGAACTCTTCAGAAGCAGGACCCACGAAGCCACACTCTCTGGCTAGTTCGTCCTGGTGGAAGGCAGGTACAGCTGAGGACTTTCCAGGGACTTTTCTAACCTGCCAGGGGCCTGACAGCTCCCCCGCAATCCCTGTCCTCAGCCAATAAAGACCAGTGCAGCGGGTGGGCTGGTGGCACGGTGAGGGTGCCTGATGGCAAGTGCACGACTCCCACCCACCACCCCACAGCCTCTCGGGCCAGTCGCTTCCCATGGATGCATCAAACATGGTTTAAACCTGAGGGCTGAGCTGGAGGCCTGAGGTTAACGTTCTGGTTGAAACGAGGCTCCCGGACAGTTTCTGGAGCATCGTAGTTCCGGAAGAGGTGGAGTTCAGCCGGCTGCCGGTCAGACAGTGTCCCTGTCAGCATCACCCTGGAGAGAAATGAGGCAGGAGGACGGCTGAGCCACCCGCCCATCCACCTTTCCCTTTCCCCACAATTCACACCCCAGGGCCTTGGGTAGCAGAGTGCCCACTCCAACCTCTGTTCGGGATAGGTGGGCTTCTCCCCGCACCATCCCCGCAAAACAGGCTCTCTCCGGCAGTGCTGGAGGAGTGTCAGATTGGTCCAACCTTGGGGGCACAATTCAGCAAAAGTTGGTTTTTTTGAAAGGCTAATCCAATGGAAAAACCTGTTGCAAGACTGATAAAACATGGCTGTTATCTGTTATCAAAATCAGGAAAGAAAAGGGGGCCGCACCAACACACACTGCAGACGTTAGAAAAAGGAGAATCGGCTGGGCATGGTGGCTCATGTCTGTAATCCCAGCACTTTGGGAGGCCGAGGCAGGTGGATCACCTGAGGTCAGGAGTTCGAGACCAGCCTGGCCAACATGGGGAAACCCCGTCTCTACTAATAATACAAAAATTAGGTGTGGTTGCGCATGCCTGTAATCCCAGCTACTTGGGAGGCTGAAGCAAGAGAATTGCTTGAACCCAGGAGGCAGAGGTTGCAGTGAGCCGAGATCACGTCATTGCACTCCAGCCTGGGCGATAAGAGTGAAACTCCGTCTCAAAAAAAAAAAAAAAAAAAAAAAAACAGAATATTTTGAACAACTCTAAGCCAATAAGCTTAAAGATTTAGATGAAATGGACACATTCCTAGAAAAACCTCACTTAACCAAAACTAACTCAAAAAGGTATTTAGAAACCCCGAGTGGTCAGTCTCACAACCACTATAGAAATTAATTCCATCATCAAAAATCCTCCCACCAAGCAAACTCCAGGCCTAGAAGAATTTACTATCAAGTTCTACCATAAATTCAAAATAAACTATTATACTAACTCTTCCAAGAAAAATAAAAAGAGGAAATATTTCCTCAAAACCCAAAATAGGAAAAAACGGGTCAAGTTCGCCCACGAGCGTGGACACAAAAATCTTTTTTTTGAGACGGAGTCTCACTCTGTTGCCCAGGCTGTAGTACAGTGGCGCAATCTCGGCTCACTGCAAGATCTGCCTCCCGGGTTCACGCCATTCTCCTGCCTCAGCCTCTCTGAGTAGCTGGGACTACAGGCGCCCGCCACCACGCCCGGCTAATTTTTTGTATTTTTAGTAGAGATGGGGTTTCACTGTGGTCTTGATCTCCTGACCTCATGATCCGCCCACCTCGGCCTCCCAAAGTGCTGGGATTACAAGCGTGAGCCACTGCGCCTGGCCAAAAATCTTAAACAAAATATGATCAAACTGAACCCATCAGAATTCTCTCTAGAGAAGGCACCAGTAAGAGAGAGTAGGCCTCAAACAGGTATTTGCACATCCGACATTGACAGCAGTCAATTTACAACTAAAATATCCATCAATGGATGAATGGAGAAGCAAAACGTGTATCCAACAGACAATGGAGTTTTTCAGCCTTAAAAAGGAAGGAAATTCTGACACACGCTACAACATGGATGCCAAGTGAAATAAGCCAGTCATGGCCGGGCACGGTGGCTCACCCCTGTAATCCCAGCACTTTGGGAGGCCGAGGTGGGTGGATCACGAGGTTAGGAGTTTGAGACTGGCCTGGCCAACATGGTGAAACCCTGTCTCTACTAAAATACAAAAAATTAGCCGGGCATGGTGGTGCACGCCTATAATCCCAGCTACTCCGGAGGCTGAGGCAGGAGAATCACTTGAACCTGGGAAGCAGAAATTGCAGTGAGCCGAGATCGCGCCACTGCACTCCAGCCTGGGTGATAGAGCAAGACTCCATCTCAAAAAAAAAAAAAAAGAAAGAAATAAGCCAGTCACAAAAAGACAAATACTGTATGATTCCACTTACATAAGGTACGGTCAAAGATAAAATTGCAACAAATTTAAAGATGTTAATTGGCTTTTATTGATGAACTGAGAGTCAGGCAGGCCACAAAACCAGAATAGGTTCAAAGAACTCTGGCCTGCAACGTGGTCAGGCAGTGTTGATGGGCTGAAAACCAAAGTGAGGTGTGGAGCTTAATTGGTTTGCCTTGTTTGAATCAGGTGGCCATCTATGATTGATTAAAGCTTAGCTGTTGTAGCTAACCAGAACTCAGCTATTTGTTACATGGGTATACGCCTAAGCTAACTAGGTTCACTTGGCATGAATGACTCCATATTCGTTTCTTCTGTTGGGCCTGGTACAGAATCCTGGTCCAAATCAATTATCCCCTAAAAATTTTACTTAACAGTACCTGGAGCAGTTAAACTCATAGGAAGAGAAAGTAAAATGGTGGTTACTATTTTGAGCATTTCTGAATGATCTTTTCATATTTTGAAAATGAGTCCTTTGATGGATGTATGGATTCGAAATCTTTTCTCCCACTCTGTGGCTTGTCTTTTTACTCCCTTTATGGTGTTTTTGTTTTATTTATTTATTTGGATGGACCCATGTTCTTAATGGAGTAGAATTTATAAATATTTTTTCTTTTTATAGTTTGTGAGTTTGTTTGTTTTTGTTTTTTTTTTTTTGTCTTAAGACAGGGTCTCACTCTATTGCCCAGGCTGGAGTGCAGTGATGGGATCACAGCCCACTGTAGCCTCAGCCTCCGGGGCTCAAGTGATCCTCCCACCTCAGCCTCTCAATTAGCTGGGACTACAGCCATAGTGCCACCATGCCCAGCTAATTGTTAGTTTTAAATTTTTTGTAGAGATGAGGGTCTCACTATGTTGCCCAGGCTGGTCTCGACCTCCTGGCCTCAAGTGATCCTCCTGCCTCAGCCTCCCAAAGAGCTGGGATTACAGGCTTGAGCCACCATGCCTGGCATATTCCTATTTTTGAGAAGAGGTAGAAACTTCAGGGTCTATGCTTGTATCCACTTCTCTCTACTGCCCCCAAGAATAGCCATGATGTTTTTGAAGAAGGCCAAGGTGGAGGATCTGCCACCCAGACACCAGGACTCACCACACAGCGGTAGTTTTTTATGCTCTGTGGTCCGGGCACAGAGACAGCTTTCCAACCAGTGGAACAAAACACAGCCTGGAGCAGATCCAAGAGCAGAGGGATGCTTGACCCACTGCTGAGGAAGCGGAGGGAAGGACAGACTTCACAGATGGGGCTGGGAAAAATTGGCCAATCACGTGGAAAACATTAAATTGGATCTTGGATTTCACCCTCATACAAAAATCAATTCCAGGTTGATAAAAGACCTCAATGTAAAAGGCAGATCTAGAGAGCTTTCCAGCTCGACACAGGAGAATCGTGTGCTGCTTGGGGGCAGCAAAGGGGTTTATGAACGAGAAATAAAAAGCACAAACTAGGCTGGGCATGGTGGCTGATGCCTGTAATGGGAAACCAAGGCGGGAGGATCGCCTCAGCTCAGGAGTTCAAGACTAGCCTGGACAACATGGTGAAACCCCATCTCTACAAAAAATACATGTGTTGGCACATGCTAGTAGTCCCAGGCACTCAGGCGGCTGAGATGGGAGGACTGCTTGAACCCAGGAGGTCGAGGCTGCAGTAAGCCGTGTTCACAGCAATATACTCCAGCATGGGCCCCACAGCAAGACCCTGTTTCAAAAAAAAGAAAGAAAGAAAGGAAAAAATCACAAACTACAAGAAGAAAAATATTTATAAATATTATCTACCTCATTAAGAACATGGGCCACCAAAACCAAAACCAAAACAAAAAACAAAAAACAAAAACCTAGAAACACCACAGAGCAGAAAGACAAGCCACAGAGTGGGAAAAAAGATTGAAGGTCCCTGGCCTTGGACCCTAGGGAAGACCGCAGAGGGGATGCCGGGCCCCTAAGACTGGGGGACACTCACTTTCAAAATATGAAAAAATCACTCAGAAATGCTCAAAACACTCCTCTTGGAACACACCATTCATCCAGCCCCGAACGGGATGCATTGCTTAGTCCTAGGATTTGGGCTTCCCAAACAAATGTTTCCTGGAAATGTGACTTTCTCCTTCAGTCTGACTTAAATTAGTTCAAGTCTTGTAGGCCTTAAATTAAAGGTAAGACTGAAGCCCTCTGATTATAACCTAGTAGTCCGATCCTGGGAGCGAGTGCTGTCTGAAATGTGAGAAAATGTTTAGCCGTGTCATTTGAAAGGCCAGTGGGTTCCTTTTGCCTGGGCAGCAAAAACCCAGCCTCTGCCCAGGTGGTCTCAGAGAAGGGTGGCCCAGGCTCTCTCCAGGCAAGCCCCAGACCCCTGGCCGGGCAGGGCAGAGCCAGGCAGGGCAGAGCCGGCAGGGCAGAGCCGGGCAGGGCAGAGCCAGGCAGGGCAGAGCCAGGCCCACCAGGCCACGCCCCTCCTGCGCTCAGCAGGTGTCTGCATGCCCAAGTGAGAGCCACACCCCAGCCCTCTGCCTCCCTGGGAAGGGGGTTCCCTCTGCTCCCCTCAAGCGTGGGGCGCTCTTCCCCCTCCCTCAGCAGGACAGGGAGCCCTCTGTCCCCAGGGAACAGCCACAGTGGGCACAGCTGCGGCCACGGCCCCAGTGCGCCAGGGCTTACTTGGGTTTCCTGACGTCCGTCATCTTGGTGTGCTCCCCAAACTCCCGCTTCAGGAACTCCTCCAGGGGCCCCGACTCGTAGGGCCTGGAGCCCCGGAACACCTCATCCTTCATGCGAAAGTACATGCCGCGCATGTAGGCCATGGACTTACCTAGGAACAAAGGGGTCAGAGGCGGGGAGATGCAGCGGCCACACGCAGGGCTCCCGTAGAACAGCCTGCAGAGCGCCTGAACGCAGGAGGTGGCAGGAGGAAGCGGGTTTACCGAGGCCTAAGCAAACCCAAATTCTGGGCCCTTCCTTTGCAACCTCCCAGACAGACAGAGAGAAACCTCCTTCCGGCTGGACATGGTGGCTCGCGCCTGTAATCCCAGCACTTTGGGAGGCTGAGGCAGGTGGATCACTTGAGGTCAGGAGTTTGAGACCAGCCTGCCCAACATGGTGAAACCCCGTCTATTAAAAATACAAAAATTCGCCAGGTGTGGTGGCGGGCGCCTGTAGTCCCAGCTACTCGGGAGGCTGAGAGGCAGGAGAATCGCTTGAACCCGGGAGCGGAGGTTGCAGTGAGCCAAGATGCACCACTGCACTCCAGCCTGGGCAACGGAGAGACTCAAAAACCACTGAAGCCCCACGGCTCTGCACTTCATCTTGTATTCATGATTTTGTATTATTTTCCTTAAAGAAGAGCCCCTCAAGAGTAAAAGCTTATAAAAGCTAGACCCACGTTGTTTGTCACAGAAAACAAGGAATAGCCCTGTCCTTTGAGCCTTCAGAACAGACAGGGCCAAGGGGCCGGCTGCACCTCCAGGAAGGAGAAGCTGCCCCACTTCCCCCGTGAGGCAGTGAGTTCCCCAGGGCCAGGGATGTACAAGCAGAGGGTAGCTGAAAGGAGGCCATCTGCCCACACCGGAGGATCAGCCAGGAGACCTCTCAAATCCCCTCCATGGCCCCTGGGAGTCTCAAGACCCCGGATGGGGAAGAAATGGTCCCTGAAGAAGGACGTGGCCCTTTTGGAGAAGAAGCTAGGACTCTGCCCAGTCTGCCTGCTCAGACCTCGTGCCCGCCCTTGGACCCTGTGGAAGACCAGAGAGGGGATGCTGGGACCCTGAGGCTGGGGTAGAGAGCTGGGCACACTGCTGGAGACCCAGTCCTGACTGCCCAATTCACTGGCTGATCCTCTCTGGTTCTCAGTTTCCCCATCTGCTCACCCCGCAGGGCTATGGTGAGAATCATCAAAAGGAAATGAAATACCAGTCAATAAACCGCCGTGGACACTAACGTCCCGGCAACTTGACAGATGACTCTCCTCCTCCGCCCATGGGACTCTGTCCCCAGCACCTCCTGGACTGGCTGAGCCCCCTGCTCCTGAGGCTGGGGTATGCCTGGCTCAGCTCTGCATCCCCAGCATCCAACACAGGCCTGGCCCACAGGCCCTGATACCCACCCTAGGGTGGGGAGTCCTCCCCGGGCACCTCCAAGACTTTGCATGACCAGGATCCAGATGTGGGGGCGCTCTGGAGAAAATGGAATCTGACCAGCACAGGGGCAGGGGCACCAGTCAGACATGTTGAGTCCCAGGACAATGTCCAGGGGGTTGGGGGGAGCTGAGGACCCTGATCTGGCAGTGCCCCTCCCCACCTGTCAGCACCTAGAAGCTCAGACAGCTCCACAGAGGAGCCGTCACAACACTGACCACCCGGCTATCTGTCC
This sequence comes from Homo sapiens, assembly GCF_000001405.40. NCBI lineage: Eukaryota > Metazoa > Chordata > Mammalia > Primates > Hominidae > Homo > Homo sapiens. The sequence goes on from NC_000022.11 coordinate 38,122,466, forward strand.
AGCAAGCCAGGCGCCTTCGCAAAGCGGCAGTGAAAGGAGACTACACAGTGCCCTGTGGCCTAGGAGGTGCCAGGCTGGGAGTCTAGGGGACTGTGCTCCAGCCCAGCGACCCCATGGATGAGCTATGTGACTTCACGTCATCCCTCCCCACCTGGGAACTTAATTTCCCAGTAAAATTTCCCAGTAAAATGAAGTGTGCAGGCGAGGGCTCTGGCATCCTGAGGCTCAGTGGCTCCTCATTCCTGAGACTGCCTGCTGCGTGCACCCTGGGAATGGGATTCCTTATGTGCAGCAGGCTGTGTGGCCCCTGGTGCCTGCTTTGCAGGGGTGAGGGGAGGAGGGGTTAAGGCAGTCGATAGGAAACGCTTCCTATGCCAAAATTTCACACAGCCAGCTCTACCCTCTGTGGCCAGAGGGCGGGGGATCCCCAAACCCAAGCCCATGGGCCCAGCCCTTCTCCTTCCAGCCTGGGACCTCAGCACCTGCAGCCCCGCCCCTGCCTCCTCAAAGTGCTTATAGCCCTCCTCTACTCCTCCACTCTCTTTTTGCAAAGCCCTGAAGACAAACTCGGCCCCTTGAGGACACAGGTCTCAGCCCCGCCTGGCCCCATCCCCAGGGGCCGCCCTCACTGTGCAGAATGGCCAGGGCCAGGATGCCTCCAGTGCTGGTGCCCGCCACCCAGTCAAACAGGTCCTTGGTGGCCACACCCGAGGCCTTCTCGATGGCGATGAGGAGCTGGATGATGATGAGGCCTTTCACTCCTCCTCCATCCAGGCACAGCAGGTGGTCGTGGCTGCAGTGGGAACAGCAGTGGGAGAGAGGAGGGTCCTGCCACAGCCCAGTACTTTACATCCACCCTCATAGCCCTTGTCCCCTGCAGCTGTGTCCTGGCAGACAGACCCAGACGGACCCGAGGAACTTCTGTCCTATGCAGGACAGCGAGGGTGGGGGTGAGGGCAGTAAAGGAACAAATGTCTAGTATTTCAGGGGCTGGAGAGTGCAACAGAGAAAGGGAAAGGAAGGTCGGGGGATAGCATCACTGACCAGGCGCCATCCCAGCAGGATCTCGGCCAGTCTCCCCAACTTGGGACACCTGATTTTGGTCAGTATCAGGCCTGATCCAAAGCAGGTGCCTGATAAAGTCTGTTGGAATTAAATAAGGCTGGGGAAGGAGGGGCGGGGACCCTACAGCCAGGCCAGGAATGGGCAGTGACAGAGTATCAGGGCCTCCACACAAGGTGGAAGAAGCAGGGGAGGAGGGGGCAGGGAGGAAGGGAGAGGTTCATGCCAGGGGCTATGGGAGGGGTGCTACCAGCATTAGCTCATGTCATTGTCCCAAACGCCTCTGAGGCAGACCCTCCCTGACATCCCTGTGCTTATTTATTTAGAGACGGAGTTTCACTCTTGTTGCCCAGGCTGGAGTGCAATAACGCGATCTCGGCTCACCGCAACCTCTGCCTCCCGGGTTCAAACGATTCTCCTGCCTCAACCTCCCGAGTAGCTGGGATCACAGGTGCCCGCCACCACACCCAGCTAATTTTGTATTTTTAATAGAGACGGGGTTTCTCCATGTTGGCCAGGCTGGTCTTGAACTCCCGACCTCATGTGATCCGCCTGTCTCGGCCTCCCAAAGTGCTGGGATTACAGGCACGAGCCACCGTGCCCAGCCTTATTTATTTATTTATTTATTTATAGAGACAGGGTCTCACTCTGTCACCCAGGCTGGTGTGTGGTGGTGCAATCACAGTTCACGGCAGCCTCAACCTTCTGAGCTCAAGTGATCCTCCCGAGTAGCTGGGACTACAGGCAGGAGCCACTGCGCCTACTCTCTGTGCATATTTTTGAGTGACGGAGGGAGTGTAGCTCAGAGGTTAGGTGACGGGAACCAAGTCATATGGATGCGGACTGGACCTGGACCCAGGTCTGCCGCCTCCTGAGTCACATGCTCTCCAGCGCGCCCTGACACGTCTCCCCACATCCTGCCTGTCCTCATTGGCCATGCCCTGGGGGAATGCCTTTGTGGTTGGTTCAGTCTGGAACCTTCCTCTGATCTTCTCATCTTCCCATCTCAGCTTGATGAAGCTGAGAGAAGCCTGCCCTGATGCCATCGAGACCCTCCCTCACAGCCCGCCTGCTGCTCCACCTGCTTCCTGGTGGAGGCTGCTTCCATTCCATTCGCAATCTTTCTTTTACTCTCTCCTGCGCTGACCTGGAAGCTCCACCAGGGCAGAAGCCGCCTCTGCTCTGGGCAGCGCTGTGTGTCAAGGGGATGCAGGAGGTGCCCAAGAGGGCTGATAAATGGAGGAGGCCCGGGTCCCACCTCTAGGGGTCTTTTCCTGGACCAGGTACCCAGCCCCACAGCAAGCCTAGAGGTGGCAGGGGAGAGACTACACTGTTGCTGGAGGCCAAAGCAAACTCCCGAAGATGCGGGGCTGGCGACAGAGATCAACCCAGAGGGCGCAGGGCTCTGTAGCTTGGAAGGCCCAAGTGGGGAGCTACCGAGGGGTCTCCTGACTCTTGCCTCAGCCCCGCTCCAGGCAGGGTTCTGAGGCTCCAGAATCTGGGGAATCTGCTTTTCCTCCCTTGGGAAATGTGGGTCCCCCCTTCAGGTGCAGCTGCCTCACCTCAGCCCCTGCACAGGTGTGTGTATGTACATGCATGTGTGTACATGTGTGTGCATGTGTGTGGGTGTCCATGTGCATGCATGCATGTGTATGTGTGCGCATGTGTATGTGTGTGCATGCACGTGTGTTTGCATGTGTGCATGTGTGTGCGTGTCCATGTGTTTGCATGTGGGCAACACATGCATGTGGGCAACCCGCAGGCATGTGCATGTGGGTGTGTGTGCGTGCATGTGTGCGTGTGTGTGTGCGTGTGCCCGCGTGCAAGAGCATGCAGGGGGCACAGGGGAGGGAATGCTGATGGGGCAGGGGAACCTCCAGGGCACACAACAGGGTAGCATGGAAGTGAGTGCGAAGTGAGAGGACCCACAGAGCTGCACGATCACTGCCTGGCCCTGGGAGTGGAGCTGCCTCTGATTCTGAGAAGAGAGCTTTCCCTGCAGAGGGCTGGCACTAGGTATAGAGTCCACAGAGAACCCAGAGAGAGCCTGCGGTAGCACAAAGGACGTGGGTTCGGAAGACCCGGCTGTGAGTTGCCACCCTGACACTCACTCCGTGTGACCTTGAGCAAGTCACTTCACCTCTCAGGGGCTCAGGTTCTGCATCTGTAAAACAAGGTTACAAATTCCTCCCTGGGAAGGCTATTAGGAACATGAGAGACTAATAAAGAATAAATGAATCAACTGCAGCAATCAAGGGAGGTGGCGACAGCACAGTGGCTGGAAACGCATTTGTCCTGGTACCTTGCCGTGCCAGCTGGCACTGAGTTCAAGCACCCGGGATTATGCCTGAAGGGCAAGGCCTGGGCGTCTTCTCTTTGCATCCTGTCACCCAGGCCCGCCTCTTACAATGGGACTAGGTATACAGCAGGTGCTGGGGAAGGCAGCCCACGCCACTATTCTGCAGTGGGAGGTGGTTAAGGAAGCCAGTAGGAGCAGTGGGAAGCAGCTGCTGAGATCTCCCCAGGGGGGACCCAGGCATCTCCCCCTCTTCTAGCCATAAGGAGATCAGGGAGGGAGGCCAGAACACTGCGCCAGCCCCACCAAGTCCAAGAAGCCTGGCACCCTGGGCTGGTCTCCAGAGCCTGCACCGCCCAGCATTAATGAACGAGCGACACAGGCTCTCCATGTTCTGTCTCTGCTGAGAACTATAAGACTAGGAGCAGAGCCACTTCGCCGGCTGTGAGGGTGCAGAGAGTAAAGCCCTGAGCCCACAACAGGGGGTGGGTGAGGGGCAGGAAAGCGCACACGTTCCCCGCTCTGCCCCCGATCTCGATCCACTTACGTCCGCTTCTCGTCCCTCATGGAGCCCAGGATGAACGCTGGCTTCCGGGCCCGTGAGATGTGCATGAGATCCTGTAGTTCTGTGAGGCACAGAGCAGGGCATGCTGTGGTCAGGTGGGTCCCCAAGCCCTGCTACCCCAGAGGTCCCTAGATCAAACCTGGGCTGTGCCTCGCCCACGGCCACGCCCTCATCCCCCCACTCCCCCTGTCATCTGTCCCTTCCCCACAGGAAGGACTCTGTCCCAGGAGAAAGCTGAGCCACAGGCCACAGGAGAGAAATGGGCTGGAGTGGAAAGGGGGGCCCACTGCTCTGGGAAGGGCTCCCCACCCTGCCCAGCCAGCTCCCAGGTTCCCCTCAATCTCTTCCTCTTGAAACCCCAAGGCATGAATACCCTTGCGTGTCCTCTTCAGACAAAGTGCTTCTTCTTGCATCGGAGCCGATGCTGCAATAACCACCTGGGGCCTAAGAATTCTTATTCCCTATTGACAGGTGAGGCTCTAAGAGGGTCCATAATTCACCCAAGGTCATTTAGTCAAAAGGCTGAGTCAGGACGTTCCTCGGGGTTTAAGTCCATGGATGAAAGGAGACATCCCTCGTCCTGATCCCAGGTCTGGAAATCCCAGTGGCCTCCGGGATCAGGCCCACCATCCACTCTGTCCATGTCTTCCTTTGTGTCCAAGGCCTGCCTGACGTCCACCCAACTGACTAGCTGCCCCTCCTGACAAGCAGCCCAGTCCCCAGGTGCCTGGTGCAGCAGCCCGCGTGACCCCAACTCTGACAGCCCCCCACCACTGTGCAGAGTCTAGAAGCAGCAAAGCAGAACCGAGGGCTGCGAAGCGGTGTCTCCCCCTCCCCAGGGCACACGGCTCCACAGTGAACAAGGGAAGCAGAAGAGTGGCTGAGAGAGGCCGGGGACAGGGTGCAGGGGAGGGGGCGTGTGGTGTGTGCGCAGCTAAGAAGGACGGATTAGGGAGTGAGAGCTAGAGCTAATGCCGCATGGCTAGGCTCGGTGGCCTCTCCAGGCCCAGGGCGTTACCCATCTGACGCCGCACCCCAGGCCCACCATCCGGCCTGGCTTGGGTGACTGCCTGCAAAATTGAGAGATAAAGATGGGAGGTGGAGGGGGAGTTCCTGGGAGGGGAGAGAGAGGTGGAGCCAGGACTAGAAGCCACAGTCACGGTGCCTCTCCAGAGTTCCAGGCTTGGTCGGGCTACCCTGGCTGAAGGTGCTGCCGCCTCCACAGTGAAGTCTGGCTCACCAAGGACTGGCTCCTGGCTGCCCTCTGTTCAGGGGACCCCGCTCCCAAACAATGGAGGTCCCTGAGTGGGCCAGCCCACAGAAAGTCCAGAGAAGGGTCCTGTCTAGTCTGGGGATGTCTCCCTGGGCACCAAGGAATGCACCGGGGCAGATGCTGGCTGCCTGGCCACATTCAACGTCTGAAAGTCACCACGGGGCCAGGAAGGGGGCACACAGGTCTCAGGCCCAACCGAGATTCAAACAGTGTGATAGAGGTGAAGCCAGAGGGACAGGTGAAGCCAGAGGGCCCGGGCCCCCAGTCCCCCGACAGCACTCCTCACTGCCCACCCTGAACGCCCTGGGGACAGGAGGGCAGTAACAGCAGCCACCTCATGGGTGCCACTGGAAATGCCCAGGCCTGAGACTGTGTGCAGGACACATCCTCTCAGGGGCAACGGAGCATGGGACATCAGCCAGGGACACCCTAGGCCTCTGGGATCTGTGGGTTGCTGGCTGCCTAGAGGCTGACAACTCCGGCCCCATCCTCCCCGGCTTCCTTTAGTGACTTCCGTCCTAGGGATCCTGTTGCTTTGGTGGGGCCTGCTGTGATCCAGGGGCCTGGGAACCAGCTGGAGAAGAGGGAGTCGGGAGGCGAGGCCTACCTAGGTTGTTTAGGCTGATCGGTGGGGGCTGAGCTCTTTCCAGGGAGAAGGGATGATGTGGCGCTGCAGAGCCCTGCTCCGCGGGGACCCCGTGGATGGGTGGGAAGCAGTATTCGGCCCCCACGGTTCTCAGCAGAGTCAAGATCGCCTTCCTGGTGACAACTTGTCATGGTTTGGGGAAGGGGAGATGGCACAGGATCAGAAATGATGTCAACATGCAAAGGAGAGGCCCCTCCTTTCCACACTCCGTCCCCTGTCCCAGCTCCCAGGCCCTGGGCACGTGGGCTGCTCCAGAGGCCTCAGCCCACCCTGACAGGGAGTGCTGCCCCCAGGCTGGTACATCCCAAGCAGCTTCCTAAGGCCAGGGAAGGAGGATATGGGAGGAGGAGGTCAGTGTCACCCTGCCCGATGCCTGTGGGAACCCCTTCTTTCCTTCTACTCCAGCCAAGAAAGCAGGAATCCCATGGCCACATTCAGTGATTCTCAAAAATGCTAAGTGATAGTTCAGGGTTCCAAAGGGACTAATGAGCCAGCCAGGGGGCACCTACTCCATTTGATGGATGGGATTGCTGAAAAGGAGGTCATAGATGCGGTGCATGCAGACACACACGTGTGCACTGGCACACACACACTGCTGCCATCAGGTACCTGCCCACAGTGACCCCCACAGCTGCTGAAACCCTCCAGAGCGGGCTCCAGGCCTCTGGTGAGGAGGATCTGCTCTGTCCAGCTCTGAAGCTAAGGCTCACTGTGCGAGCGTGCAGCACATGGCCATGCACTCTGCCCACACAGGCATGCCCAGAGCTCGTGCAGTGTAGTGCATGCACCCTTGGTCATTCTAGCCAGTGGTTCCATCAGTGAATTCCCCAACGGTGGGGAAAGAAGGCTGCTGCTGGCTCTCCTGTCCCCACCCCTGCTGGGAATCTTAGCTCCCTGAGGTGGGGGGCGCTGCACGGGAGAGGATGCTGGTATAGCAAGCCCCGTGGTGGGCCTGCATCTACTGCTCAGGGCCCTTGTGCTTGGGTAAGGAAGCCCCCTCTCTGAGTACGAGGTGCTCCTGGCAGCTCTGAGCAGGGCGGGTCAGCACAGGATGCTGGCACCTGATGCCTGGGACTTCCCTCCTCCTCGGTCCCTGTATCCACCCAACCCTCACCCCACTCCAGCCCCAGAGTGCAGAGCACATACGTCTGCCGATTTTGGAGGCTAGGAATGTAGGAGTCTCCCCAAAGTCATTCGGGGTGTCCACTTCTGCTCCGAACACGATGAGGGCCTTGATCATCTCCACGTTGTCTTTCTGTTGGAGATGGAGAGAGGATAAGACGTGCAACTGCCGGGGAAGTGAAGAACAAAGGGGCCCCTGGCTGCCAGCCCCAACCTGTCAACTCACCCAGCGGGCCTCTCCTCAGCACGGGGAGACACTGGAACCCTCCTCACCCCCACCCAAGTCAATCTGGTAGTCCAAAGTCTGCCATTTGATGGCTGGGGACCTGACAAACAGGCTTAAAAGCACCCACAGGGGAGGGTGTAAGAACCCAGGCAGAAACTAGAAGTGACTCGCCCCTGCTCTGCCAGCTCCGCCTCCAAAGATGCAGTGCATCTGTGACCCCGACCCAGGAGCCATGGGGACACAGTAGGTCAGCTGCTGATGGCTTTCAGGAGTAGCAAGGAGAGGGTGGGTGAGGGCAGGGAAGGCCATCTTGCCCACCCAGTCCAGGGTGTCATCCCTGAGGGGTAACCGAACACACGTGCCCCTAATGGCAGCCTTCGGGGGAGTGTCCCCACGAAGAACGTCACACATTTCCACACCTGGAGGCCGGGCAGGGGCGCAGAGCATGGCATGGTTTCAGAGGACACACTGGCCACCTGGAACTGTGGGCTCTGGCCTTGTCACCTTCCTCTTCTTGGGACCCGATTTCCCTGCCTAGAGAATGAAGCTGTGGGTCTAGAATGGGGTTTTCCAAACAGTTCTTCACATTCTATTAGGACTTCTATGGCTACAGATATGTGTGTGTTTTCAGCATTAACTGTGATTTTTTGTTGTTGTTACTGTTTTGTTTTGTTTTTTTTGAGACGGAGTCTCACTCTGTCACCCAGGCTGGAGTGCAGTGGCGTGATCTCAGCTCACTGCAACCTCTACCTACCGAGTTCAAGCAATTCTCCTGCCTCAGCCTCCAGAGTAGCTGGTATTACAGGTGCCCACCACTACGCCCAGCTAATTTTTTGTATTTTTAGTAGAGACAGGGTTTCACCATGTTGGCCAGGCTGGTCTTGAACTCCTGACCTCGTGATTCGCCCACCTCGGCCTCCCAAAATGCTGGGATTACAGGCGTGAGCCACCGCGCCCTGCATTGGTTACCTTTTATGGTTGGCACTGGATGGATGGATGGCCATTTATGGTAGTGATGCAACATTTCTCTCAAAATAAATTTAAGTCAGTTTAAAAGTAAGCCAGGCCGGGCACGGTGGCTCACGCTTGTAATCCCAGCAGTTTGGGAGGCTGAGGCAGGTGGAACACCTGAGGTCAGGAGTTCAAGACCAGCCTGACCAACATGGAGAAACCCCGTCTCTACTAAAAATACAAAATTAGCCAGGTGTGGTGGCGCATGAACGTAATCCCAGCTACTCGGGAAGCTGAGGCAGGAGAATCGCTTGAACCCAGGAGGCAGAGGTTGCGGTGAGCCAAGATCGTGCCATTGCACTCCAGCCTGGGCAACAAAAGCGAAACTCTGTCTCAAAATAAATAAATAAAAGTAAGCCAATTTGAAGAGGTGATTAAGTACATAATTGTAAAGGTGGTTGATGAATATGCCAAAAACTGTGAAGATGGGATGAAGATGACCAAAGTCTATCAGCAGTTCTTAAAGTAAGACCTGGGGACCCCTGTGAACACGTGATACCCTTTCAGAGGTCTCACACCCAGCTAATTTTGCATTTTTAGTAGAGATGGGCTTTCGCCATGTTGGCCAGGCTGGTCTCGAACTCCTGGCCTCAGGTGATCTGACCATCTTGGCCTCCCAAAGTGCTGGTGTACACGAGCCACTGCAGCTGGCCAGTTATTTTTTAAGTTTTTTAAAAAATTTTTAATTTTAATTTTTGTGGGTACATAGTAGGCATATATATTTATTATTGTTATTTTTAAATGAATTAATATTTTGAAATTTTCACACTTTAAATTTCTAAAATGGTAAATATAGATAAAGAAAATCCAGATGATTAAAAAATCTTTGTGATCCTCAATAATTTTTCAGAGTATAAAGGGATCAAATAGGCCAAAAAACTTGAGAACTGCTGAGTTAGATCATTCCAAGGGCCCACCCAGTGCTAAAAATGTCCACAGTTTCAAAAATGAAACTATTTATAGTTTCAGCCTTTTGGGCAACAACATCTCTTCCAAGTTTTGACCTTTGGTATAAAACAGGATGTCTCTGAATGTGTCCTGAATCAGCTTTTAGAGTCCCGGGGGTCTCTCATGTTCTGTCACTGAGACTCAGTAAACAGACTTCTGTACATACGGTATTGCTATAGAAAACGTGCACACGGTGGGGCGCGGTGGCTCACGCCTGTAATCCCAGCACTTTGGGGTGCCAAGGCGGGTGGATCATGAGGTCAGGAGTTTGAGACCAGCCTGGCCAACACAGGAGTTCGAGACCAGCCTGGCCAACGTGGTGAAACCCCGTCTCTACTAAAAATACAAAAATTAGCTGGGCATGGTGGCACGTGCCTGCAGTCCCAGCTACTTGGGAGGCTGAGGCAGGAGAATCGCTTGAACCTGGGAGGCGGAGGTTGTGGTGAGCCGAGATCGCGCCACTGCACTCCAGCCTGGGCGACAGTGCGAGACTCCATCTCGAAAAAAAAGAATACATGCACACACATATGTCTGTAACACAGTAACGTCCTCCTCTGCTAGGTTTAATATGTTCATACTCTAGATGTGTAACCAGACAGTAAGGGCTTTGAGGGCAGGAACTGTGTTCTATAATAAACCAACGAATATGCCTGGCACCTGCCACAGGCTGCTGGGCTGCACACTCAGGCTTTGCCTGCCAGGATCTTACAGCCTCCCAGGGAAGATGAGAGCAACACGCGGACCAGTGAAGGGAAGCAGGATGCTCACTCGGGCCAGGTACTGCGTGTGTCACTTAGACATTCTGTAGAGGGTGACCAAGTGTCCACCATAACTTTTCCACAACTCTTCCAGATAAGTATTGACACCACCATTTTCCAGATGAGGAAATCGAGGCTGACAGGTGACATGGCTTGCTCAGGGCCAGTCTATGGCCAGAGCTGTCATTTTTCCCTCTCGTGCCATGCAAGTGCCAAATGGGGGCACAGGTGGAAAAGGTACCACAGCACACAGGAGGTGGTGTTATTTTGGGCTGAGAGGGGGACTTGGAAGGCTTCCTGAGGGAGGAGTCAGGGTCTGAACTGAGCTTTGGGTGGGAAGATGATTTGGAGCAGCTGACGATAGGAGGGAGACAGTGGGGAGGAGGGCTCCAGTCCGGACAGCCCTCCTGCATTCCCACCGGGGCCCCACAGGGCAGGACACGCGGTCCTGGGCTCACCGACATGGCCAGGTGCAGCGGGGTGTTGCCGTGCTCTCCGCGGGCATCCGCGTTGGCCCCGTGGGTCAGCAGCACTATGGCACAGTCGAAGCGGTTGCGCATCACCGCCACGTGCAGGGCCGTGTTCCCCGCGGAGCTGGTGCTGTTCACGTTGCAGCCCCGTTTCAGCAGCATGCGGGCCATCTGCGGGAGACGGTCAGGCTGAGTTAGCACAGGCACTCGGGGAGCTGCCGCACCCCGGGACACGTGGGCACTGCCACTTCTGCTCTGAGAGGCCTACAGGTACTGGGATGTTGGAAAGCGCTAGCAAGAGGATTCCAGGGGCAGGCCCCAGTTCTAGGGGGGCCTAGACTGCCTCCCATCCCATCAGCATCCCAAGACTAGGGACAAAAAGCCAAAGATGTGCTGACTGTTTTAAGAGGCTTCTGGTCCTTTCCTAGTGCCAACAGAACCCACTCTCCTTGCAAAGGCTCCTCTGGGGCCTGTCCTGAAGCACCCCGCTCCCTGCATCCCTCCCTGGAACCCTGCAAAGGTATCACCTCTCACTGGGCCTTGGCAATGCACATCCCTGGCAGAGCCTTGGGAACAGGGAGGGGAGCCTGGCTTTGGAGTCACAGACCTGAGCCCAAAGCCCAGCTTCACTCATCCCAGCTGCCTGCGCTTGGATGGGTCACTGTAGCCATGTGCACTTCAGGGCTTCTGTGAAGATGGGAATGCAAGTCCCCACCTCACAGCATGTGATGACAATGAGTGACCAAACCTACACGGAAGGGCCTGACTCGGTGTCCGGCTCCTGGAATGCAGAGGTACCCTGAGGCTGGCAGTGCCCTCCCTCCTGGCCCATCACATTGAGAAGTAGGCCATGAACTCTGGGGCATCCCATTCTCTGTCAAGCTGTGCTTCCTGGTGATGAGACCAGAGGCCTCCATCCTCCCAGGAGGACAGAGCTTAGCTTAGGGGAAGAACTCAGAGGAGATGCCCAGCCAGGCTCCCTGTGTGTGCAGCTAGGCCCAGCACCACCACCACCACCATCATCATCCATCATCATCATCATCATCTTGATGGTTAATAATGAGTGTCAACTTGATTGGATTGAAGGATGTAAAGTATTGACCCTGGGTGTGTCTGAGAGGGTGCTGCTAACGGAGATTAACATTTGAGTCAGTAGGGGAAGGCAGACCTACCCTTAATCTGGGTGGGCACCATCTAATCAGCTGCCAGCACGGCCAGAATATAAAGCAGGCAGAAAAAAATGTGAAAAGGCTAGACTGGCTTAGCCTCCCAGCCTACATCTTTCTCCCGTGCTGGATGCTTCCTGCCCTCAAACATCAGACTCCAAGTCCTTCAGCTCTGGGACTTGGACTGGCTTCCTTGCTCCTCAGCTTGCGATGGCCTATTGTGGGACCTTGTGATCGTGTGAGTTAATGCTCCTTAATAAATCCCCCTTTAGGCCAGGCACGGTGGCTCACGCCTATAATCCCAGCACTTTGGGAGGCCAAGGCAGGCAGATCACGAGGTCAGGAGATCGAGACCATCCTGGCTAACACGGTGAAACCTCGTCTCTACTAAAAATACAAAAAAATTAGCCGGGTGTGGTGGCGGGCGCCTGTAGTCCCAGCTACTCAGGAGGCTGAGGCAGGAGAATGGCATGAACCTGGGAGGCAGAGCTTGCAGTGAGCCAAGATTGTGCCACTGCACTCCAGCCTGGGCGACAGAGCGAGACTCCGTCTCAAAAAAAATAAAATAAAAAAATAAACCCCCCTCTCTCTCTATATATATATCTCCTGTTAGTTCTGGCCCTCTAGAGAATCCTGACTAATAATACAATCATCATCACGCCACCTTCTATTTGGGAAGCACTTTACAATTTGTGCCGAGTTTTGTCACACACTGCCTTGCTGACTTCATCACATCGCCAAAGCAGAATTCATGGATGAGGAAACTGAGGCACAGGGCGGATCCCCCCGCCCAGCCAGAGAGCAGCAGAGCCCTGCCAGGATCCCAGCTCTTCATGGACTTCTCTGCCTGCACACCCACTGCAAGGTCAGCCCCCAAGTGCTAGCCTCAGGGTCCTCTCGGGAACCTGCTTCCTGAGGGCCCTGAGGACCTGCGGGGCCCGGCCCCCTGCCCCACCCACCCACCTCAGGATCCACTCACCTCTGCGTTCTTGGCCCAGTGGAGGGGGCTGGCTCCGTAACGGGGGTCTTTGCTGTGGATCTGGCTGCTGTCCATGCTGATGATCATCTCCGCACACCTGGTGAGAGAGGGGCCCCGGTTGGTGAGCAGAAGCTAGGGTCTGCGTGGCGTGGGATGAAGCCAGGACTTGGAGCTTCATCTACTGCTTACAGAGAGCATCACTGCAAACAAAGTTCAGCAAACCCAACCAGCACACTCACCATGGTTAAGGCTGTACTGAGCCCCTCAAGGCACAACTAACCCCCTCCTCCAGGAAGCCTTCCTGATGCTGCCACCAGCAATGATCACCCTCCCTGGTACTGGCTTTAGAGTCAGATGGGCTTGAAGTCAAGCCCCAGCTTCCTCACTGGTGGCCTCCAGAAGCTGAGCAACATGGAGAGAGTGCTGAGAGGAGTGGCTGGGGTGTAAGGAAGACCAGGCATTTCAGAGCCCAGTTCTGTGCCTGGCACACAGCCACCCTCCACCTCCTTACCACACTGTCAGTGAGTCACACAGTGACCTGCATGCTATAGGAAGCAGTATGACAGAGTGGGAAAGAGCACAATTGCTTTCTACTCGGTGCCTGAGGCAAGCAGTGTCCACCAGAGATCTTAGCATCTCCAGCCTCAGAGCAGAGGCCCCGGGTTCACAAGCCTCATTAGGCCCCGCCTGGCCCAAAGAAAGTGCTCCATCATTGTATCATGGGTAGGAATCTCGGTTCACAAGTTCAGCTGTGCAAGGAGAAGACTTTAAAATTTTTCTGGCTGGGCGCGGTGTCTCACGCCTGTAATCCCAACACTTTGGGAGGCTGAGGCAGGCGGATCACCTGAGGTCGGAAGTATCAAAGGACGGAATGCAGGGACTTGAATGGACATTTGCAGACCCATGTACACAGCAGCATTCTTCACAACAGACAAAAGGTGGAAACAACCCAGGCGTCTATCAGTGAAGGACTGAATGGATAAACAAAATAGTATTCTGCCTTAAAAAGAAAGGAAATTCTGATACGTGCTGCAACATGGATGAGCCTTGAAGACATCATGCTAAGTGAAATAAGCCAGGCACAAAAGGACAAACGCTGTATGATTTCACTGATACGAGGTTCTAGAACAGGCAAGTTCTGAGAGACAGAGAGGATATGGGACTTATCGGGGGCTGTGGGGAGGGGAGAATCGGGAGTTATTAATGGTTACAGTTTCTGTTTGAGGTGATAAGAAAAGTTTTAGAAAGGGGTAATGGTTGGACAACATTGTAAATGTGATTAAAACCACCGAATTGTACACTTAAAAGTGGTTAAAATGGGCCGGGTGTGGTGGCTCACGCCTGTAATCCCAGCACTTTGGGAGGCCAAGGTGGGTGGATCACCTGAGGTCGGGAGTTCGAGACCAGCCTGACCAACATGGAGAAACCCTGTCTCTACTAAAAAATACAAAATTAACTGGGCATGGTGGTGCATGCCTGTAATCCCAGCTACTACTCGGGAGGCTGAGGCAGGAGAATCACTTGAACCCGGGAGGTGGAGGTAACGGTAAGCCGAGATCACACCATTGCACTCCAGCCTGAGCAACGAGAGCGAAACTCTGTCTCAAAAACAAAAAACAAAAGTGGTTAAAATGGCAAATTTTATGTTATATATAATCTATCACAGTTGGAAAAAATAAACATAATATATCAGAATCATTGTATACTTTCAATAGGTGGATTGTATGGAATAGGAACTATATCTCAATAAAGCTTTTTTTTTTTTTTTTTTTTAGTGCAATTACTAGGACAGCCCACATGGGTTTAATTCCCAGGTCTGGCACTTACTGACTGCCTGACTTTGAGCAAATTACTTAATCTCTCTAAGCCCTGGTTTCCTCATCTGTTTTTTGTTTGTTTGTTTGAGACAGGATTTCCCTTTGTCACCCAGGCTGGAGGGCAATGGCATGATCATAGCTCACTGTAGCCTCAAACTCCTAGGCTCAAGCGATCCTCCTGCCTCAGCCTCCCAAAGTGCTGGGATTAGAGGCATGAGCCACCACACTTGGCCCTCAGCTTTAGAGGGGGAATAAAATACATCAGCTCTCTGGGCTATAGTGAAATAGCCCACATGAAGGCTAAGCCGGTGGCTGGGACAGCGTTAGTGTTCAGCTGCTGTTCTCTATTATTAGGGGTGCCCAGCACAGGCCCAGGATTTATGCTGCCCAGCTCCCTACAGCCCTTATGCCAGCGCTTGGTGCTCAGCACTAGGCACATGGAGTCAGGCCCAGCTTCTTTCCCTGGGCCCTCTGGAGCCCCCCAAGTCTTCACCCGAGTGGCCAGCTCCGGCTAGTGTCCATGGCTTGGCTCGGGCTCTGCTGCCCCCAAACCTTCCCTGAACTCCAGCTGCCTGATGCCGTCTCTGAGCTCCTAGTGCAGCCCCCAGGCATCCTCAGTCTCAGCCTCCATCTCACTGTCTGGGATTATCTGTTTCCCTTCCTCAGCAGGGGCTTAACCATCTGAGAACCGCAGGCACAAACCGAGCTTTGTGGGAAAGGTCAGCTGCATTGAAAAACAGCAGAGGTGGCCAGGCGCGGTGGCTCACGCCTGTAATCCCAGCATGTTGGGAGGGCGAGGCAAGTAGATCACCTGAGGTCAGGAGTTCAAGACTAGCCTGGTCAACATGATGAAACCCCATCTCTACTAAAAATACAAAAATTAGCTGGGCATAGTGGCGCACACCTGTAATCCCAGCTCCTTGGGAGGCTGAGGCAGGAGAATCAGTTGAACCTGGGAGGCAGAGGTTGCAGTGAGCCAAGATCATGCCATTGCACTCCAGCCTGGGTGACAGAGTGAAACTCTGTCTCAAAAACAAAACAAAGAAAAGAAAAGAAAAAGAAAAACAGCGAGGGAGCTCCTAGTCTGAGCTGTGAGGGAACCACTTGTCAGTAACACTGAGGCCGTGGGATTCTTGGAGTAGGGCTGTGCTGGCTGCCAAGTCGATAAGGGATCTCCCTGCTCCACTCAAGGTAGGAGCCTCTTCCTTTGTCTTCTGTGCAAAGATCCTCTTATGTGATGGGACGCTGGACCCACCCAGGATGGCCTGTGTGGGGACAGAGGGACCGGTGAGGGCTGAGGTTGTTTGAAGAGAGAGAAAACTGGTCAATTACAGCTCCTGCCCAGTACAGCTCAGGGTGGCTGGAGACAAGCAAGAGTGGGGCCATGTGCCAGCCCTCTGGGTAGAGAAGAGCATCACCTGGTGTCCACTCAGGTCACAACCTGCAAATGGGGAACCTGACTGCGGGGCTGGGGGTGTTGGTATCTTCTCTGTTTGGTCAAGTATTTCTGAAAGCTCTAGCTCATTCTGGCTGTGCTTGGGAGATTCAAGGAAAGGAGGGTTTGTCCAGGCTTGGTCCAGCCCTTAGAAGGGCTAGCAATGCCCCATGGGGCTAGCAAGGTGGATGCAGCTCCCAGAGGAAGGAACAACCTGAGGACAGGCACAAGTGCCAGCCTCCCTGCCTGAGTGCTGCCCGTCCATGCCTTCTCACTGCTTGTCTGGCACTGCGCTATGAGATTCTGGGTGGCTGGGGTGTCTCCTGTCCTGGAGTGGCTTATTCATTTCGGTGAGGCTGGTGCTTTAGCACAGTGCCAGGATCGAAGGACTCATTGGCTCATTCATTCATTCTAGATGTTGTTCCTGTTAGATAGTATTTTTTTTCTTGAGATGGAGTCTTGTTCTGTCGCCCTGGCTGGAGTGCTGTGGCACAATCTCAAATCACTGCAACCTCTGCCTCCCAGTTTCAAACAATTCTCCTGTCTCAGCCTCCTGAGTAGCTGGGACTACAGGCACACACCACCACACCTGGCTAATTTTTGTATTTTTAGTAGAGACAGGGTTTCACCATATTGGTCAGGCTGGTCTCGAACTCCTGACTTCAGGTGATCCACCCACCTTGGCCTCCCAAACTGCTGGGATTACAGGTGTGAGCCACCGCGCCTGGCCTAGATAGTATTTTGAGATTTGAGATATTCATTTATCTTTTTATCTCATCCCCTACCCCTTTGAAGACAATTTTCCTGACACCAGGGGTTCCCAGGCTCCCAAAACATGAGCCTGTACCTGCCTCCCAACGTGCCACCAGCCAGAAAGGAAAGAGGCATCTAGGTGGACGGGCACTCGGCCACCTTACCAAGCATTTCCCAGGCTTTGAGCTGGGCACACAAGAAACCAAGGAGCACTGAAGCCATCGGGGGGCTGTTCAGATCAGGCTGGGCTGGGTTAGAGGAGGGGCCAGGTGGGCCTTGGGGTTGCATCAGACTCCAGAACTGGAGCACCACCTGGAGGGGAGCTGGAAAGAGGAGACCCCAAAGAGGGCTAAGATTGGTTGTCTCCAGTTTTATAGAGGGAGATTCACTCCTAGGAATTAAGGTACATTAAATAAATTTATTTTTATTTATTTATTTATTTATTTATTTATTTATTTTTTGAGACAGTTTCGCTCTTATTGCCCAGGCTGGAGTGCAACGGTGCGATCTCGGCTCACTGCAACCTCCGCCTCCCGGGTTCAACCGATTCTCCTGCCTCAGCCTTCCAAGTAGCTGGGATTACAGGCATGTGTCACCACGCCCAGCTAATTTTGTATTTTTTAGTAGAGATGGGGTTTCTTCATGTTGGTCAGGCTGGTCTCGAACTCCCGACCTCAGGTGATCTGCCCACCTCAGCCTCCCAAAGTGTTGGGATTACAGGCGTGAGACACCGCGCCCAGCCAGAAAAATTTTAAAGTCTCCTCCTTGCACAGCTGAACTTGTGAACCGAGATTCCTACCCATGATACAATGATGGAGCACCTTCTTTGGGCCAGGCGGGGCCTAATGAGGCTTGTGAACCCGGGGCCTCTGCTCTGAGGCTGGAGATGCTAAGATCTATGGTGGATACTGCTTGCCTCAGGCACGGGACAGGTGACAGGAGAGCTGGAGCCCAGCAGGCCAGCAGATGGGGAGGGGAGGAGGTCTTACCCCTTCTGAGAGAACTTCATGGCCGAGTGGATGGGGTAGCCGTTGGGGCCCATGATGTTGCACCGAGCATTGCACAGCAGCAGCACGCGGACCATCTCCTGCTTCCCCAGCTGGCAGGCCAGGTGCAGCGGGGTCAGCCCTTGGTTATTCACCTGGTTCAGGCCAGCCACTGCGTTCCTTCCAAGGAGCTGATGAAAGAGGAAGGGAAGTTTGACTCCATAGGATGCTGATAAGAACGTAAAGAGGCCGGGCGCAGTGGCTCATGCCTGTAATCCTAGCACTTTGGGAGGCCAAGGTGGGTGGATCACCTGAGGTCAAGAGTTTGAGACCAGCCTGGCCAACATGGTGAAATGTCGTCTCTTCTAACGATACAAAAATTAGCCGGGCATGGTGGCAGGCACCTGTAATCCCAGCTACTCAGGAACCTGAGGAAAGAGAATCGCTTGAACCCAGGAGGCAGAGGTTGCAGTGAGCTGAGATTGCATCATTGCACTCTAGCCTGGGCAATAGAGCAAAAACTCTGTCTAAAAAAAAAGAACGTAAAGAGAAGCACCAGGAAAGCCAAGTGCCAGTGTGGATGGGAGGGAAGGGGTCGACCTGGCATGACTGTGGCTCACATGAAACATTTCTGAGTCAAGGAACTTAAAAGGTAGCTGTATCTCAGGATGGGCACTGGGGGTCCAGGTGGGAATGATTCTTGCTTTTCATTCTGTCCTGACTGATTTTTTTCTACATGCAGGTACTATGTTTTCAATGAAAGAACAGCAGTATTAAAAAGAGAGCCAGGGGCCAGGCGCAGTGGCTCATGCTTGTAATTCCAACACACTGGGAGGTGAGAGGATCACTTGAGACCAAGAGTGTGATACCAGCCTCGGCAACATAGGGAGACCCCATCTTTACCAAAAAAATTTTAAAAATTAGCTGGCGTGGCCTGGGTGTGGTGGCTCACGCCTGTAATCCCAGCACTTTGGGAGGCCGAGGCAGGCGGATCACAAGGTCAGGAGACCAAGACCATCCTGGCGAACACGGTGAAACCCTGTCTCTACTAAAAATACAAAAAAAATTAGCCGGGTGTGGTGGCGGGCGCCTGTAGTCCCAGCTACTCTGGAGGCTGAGGCAGGAGGATGGCATGAACCCGGGAGGCAGAGCTTGCAGTGAGCCAAGATCGCGCCACTGCACTCCAGCCTGGGCGACAGAGCAAGACTCCGTCTCAAAAAAAAAAAAAATTAGCCCATGTGGTGGCACGAGCCTGTAGTCCCAGCTGCTCAGGAGGCTGAGGTGGGAGGATCACCTGAGTCCAGGAGGTTGAGGCTGCAGTGAGCCACAATCACACCACTGCACTCCAGCCTGGGCGACAGAGCTAGATGCTGTCTCAAAAAAAAGAAAGTGCTAGGAGGGTTTTACTGTCTCACTTTTGGCTCAGTGCTGTCCCCATGAGGTTCATTACAACCACAGTGTACCCATGTGACACCAGGGTCACCTCACAGCAGTCCCACTGGACCTGAAGGCAGGCCAGAGACACAGCAGGAAGAGCAAAGGGCTGGCATCGAGGCCAATGTAAGGTCAAGCCCCACTCTCTCAGCTTTGTGGCCCTCCCTGGGCACGCTTCTTAATTAACAACACTGAACCTCAGTTTCTTCGGAGAGGAAAGGGGAATAATGACCTCCACCCCATGAGTGTATTCTAAGAATTAACTGGAACACATACAACACTCAGTTCAAGGTCAGGCACCAATCAGCACCGGATAAAGGACAGCTGCAGTCGTGCATGACTATCGAGAAGCGGGTGTGCACACCCCCGCATGGAGGCAGGGTCTGCGCGGCACCATGCTGGGTGCGCAGAGGATTCTCGGTGAAAGTGGAGTTCAACAGTGGGTGGAGAATTCCCTTCCCTGAGAGCAAGAAGCATAAGATATGAATCCACATTTTCTGGGCCGGGCACAGTGGCTCACACCTGTAATCCCGGCATTTTGGGAGGCTGAGGCAGGTGGATCACTTAAGGCCAGGAGTTGGAGACCAGCCTGGGCAACATGGCAAAACCCCATCCCTACTAAAAATACGGAAACTACCCAGGCATGGTGGCACATGCCTGTAATCCCAGCTACTCAGGAAGCTGAGGCACGAGCATCACTTCAACCCAGGAGGTGGAGGTTGCAGTGAGCCGAGATCGCACCACTGCACTCTAGCCTGGGAGACATAGGGAAACTCTGTCTCAAAAAAAAAAAAAAAAAAAAAAAAAAAGGAATCCACATTTTCTGGTATAACGTAGTTGCATTCTGATGCCAAGGCAGAGAGAACATGATCTTTAGAAGAATTTTCTAATTCTAGACAATAAAACATAATCCAACATCCTGCCTTTTCTGTTCAATCTAATATATGAAATAGCTATTTAATAGTATCACCCCATCTGCTTGCCCACAATTAAAAAATCACATCTTTTGCCCAGGTAATCAAAAACGTTAACAGGAGGGCCTCTGGCACAAATGCCTACAGGAACTGGAGACAGTTTGGTTTGCTTGGTTTGAATTCCTGTAAAATAGGGTTGTCCAATATTTTGGCCTCCCTGGGCCACATCAGAAGAATTGTCTTGGGTCACACATAAAATACATGAACGCTAACAACAGCTGATCTAAAAAAAAGGTCCATGCATGGATCTCATAATGTTTTAAGAAAGTTTGTGAATTTGTGTTGGGCCACATTCAAAGCCGTCCTGGGCTGCATGCAGCCTGCAGGGCCACAGATTGGACAAGCTTGCAAAAGGTTAAGCCCAGGTCCCGCTGGCCCACGAGCCCCTCCAGGCAGGCATCTGGCTCACAGTTTGTGCTCAGGAAAAGTGGAACTGAACTAACTGACTGGAGCTGGGCCTTTTTTGGGGTTTATTTTGCTGGGTTGGAGGCCGTCCCCAGGTTTATCAAGCAAAGAGACTGAGGACGTGGCTCCTGGAAAAGGGCTGGGAGGGAAGAGCCAGGGAGGGGTCTGCACCCTCCATGAAGGAGCTCAGGCCTCAAGGACCAATGGGGGACAGTGAGAGGCCTGAGAGTGACACCTGAGCCTAGGGGCCCAAAGGGAACCGTGGACACCGGGAGGTATCAGTACCAGTCACCCTGCCCCTCCCCCTGCTCACCTGCAGCACCTGAGAATTGTCACCCTGGACAGCATAATGGAAGACGGTCTCTCCCTTGTAGTCGGTGACATCCATCTGAGTGTGGCAGTACTGCACCAGCTCCACCAGGATCTCCCCATCACCCTTGCGGCAGGCCAGGTGCAGGGGTGTGCAGCCCTCCTCGTTCTCCGCGCAATTGGCACAGCTGCAGGAGAGGGCCAGGGTGAGCAGAGGTGAGCAGGTGTGGTACAAGGTGGCAGGGGGACCTAAGTGCACATGCAGGGAAGTGCACTCGGAAACTCGGACTTTCTGGTTTATTTGAGCTCAAGAGCATTCCCGCCACTCAGCTAGTTGGGCTGATTTGAATGTAATTATATCTGATGTGACCTGTATCAGGTTTCTGTTCAGTTTGCTCACTCGTACAAGAGATGGGCCCCAGGGCCACACCAGCAGGAAGTGGGCAGGGTGGTGGCACAGGAAAGGGTCACAGAACACGGATATCTCACTAGCCTCAGGCAATTCACTTAACCTTTCTGGGCGTCAATATCCTTATCGACACAAGCTGCTGTGCCTGCCCCAGGAAATGGACAGAGTGATGGTGAGATGAGACAGTGCTGTCCAAAAGCACGCCTGGAAACTAAAGTGCAGTGAGGGTTTTTGTTTTGTTTTGTTTTTTTGAGGTGGAGTTTCACTCTTGTTGCCCAGGCTGTAATGCAGTGACACAATCTCGGCTCACTGCAACCTCCGCCTCTGGGTTCAAGCAATTCTCCTGCCTCAGCCTCCCGAGTAGCTGGGATTACAGGCGTGCGCCACCACGCCTTGCTAATTTTTTGTATTTTTAGTAGAGACGGGGTTTCACCACGTTGGCCAGGCTGGTCTCAAACTCCTGACCTCAAGTGATACACCCGCCTCGGCCTCACAAAGTGCTGGGATTACAGGTGTGAGCCACCACGCCCGGCCAGCAGTGAGGTTTTGAGTTCTGGGCCTGGGAGCTTAACTGAGCTATCTAGGATAGAGACTCAGAGGAGGTGTGGCTACCTCTGCACAAGATGGCCAACTGGTGCCCTGTGCAAGGGTGGGGACAGTGCCCTCACCAGGGGCAACAGCTGCTCCATCTGCTGGCTGAATGGATTCACAAAAGGAGGCCTTCAGCTTCCAGAAGAGCAGCCTGGGCAGACACCAAGGATCCAAGCCCCTCTTTCACCCTCTCTGGCTGAGTGACCTGCACAAGTCCTGTTAGCTCTCTCTAGAATGATGATACCTGGGCCGGGCATGGTGGCTCACGCCTGTAATCCCGGCACTTTGGGAGGCCAAGGAGGGCAGATCACCTGAGGTTAGGAGTTCGAGACCAACCTGGCCAACATGGTGAAACCCCGTCTCTACTAAAAAACACAAAAAAATTAGCCGGGCGTGGTGGCGGGCGCCTGTAGTCCCAGCTACGCGGGAGGCTGAGGCAGGAGAATGGCGTGAACCCGGGAGGCGGAGCTTGCAGTGAGCCGAGATCGCGCCACTGCACTCCAGCCTGGGCGACAGAGCGAGACTCCGTCTCAAAAAAAAAAAAAAAAAAAAAAAAAATTACCCGGGCATGATGGCACATTACTGTAATCCCAGCTATTCCGGAGGCTGAGGCAGGAGAATCACCTGAACCCAGGAGGCAGAGGGTGCAGTGAGCCAAGATCGCGCCACTGCACTCCAGCCTGGGTGACAGAATAAGACTCCGTCTCAAAATAAAATAACATAACGTAACATAAAATAAAATAAAATAAAATAAAATAAAATAAAATAAAATAAAGTAAAATAAAATGACGATACCTTGTGGGGGTTGGGAAAATTCAATTTCATGGTGGGTAGAAATCAGCTCCCACAGACCTGGCACCTGGTGAGCACTCCGGACTCTGGAAACATTACATTGTCCTTCTTACATTTTAATCTGGTAGCAACGCAGCACCTTTTTTTTTTTTTTTTTTTTTTTCCTAGAGACAAGGTCTCATTCTGTCACCCAGGCTGAAGTGCAGTGGTGCAATCATAGCTCACTGTAAACTCTAACTCCTGGGCTCAAGCAATCCTCCTGCCTCAGCATCCCAAGTAGCTAGGAGTATAGACACATGCTAATTTTTTAATTTTTTCGTAGAGACAAGGTCTTGCTATTTTGCCAGGCTGGTCTTGAACTCCTAGTCTCAAGTGATCCTCCCTCCTCAGCCTCCCAAAGTGCTGGGACTGCGTTAGTGAGCGACCATGCCAGGCCCTGCTCCTTTTTAAGTCAAACTATGGAGGGGAACCGAGGCCTGCGGCCCCCACTGCCCACACAAGCAGGTACACACACGTTGTCCAAATGGTCTTGTTCCCTTGCTCACCTGATGATACGGCTGTGATGGAAGCACTCGCGGATCCCTAGCTCCACAGCCAGGTGGGCCACTGACCAGCTGGGGTGGTTACGGATGAGGTCGGTCAGGTGCTGCAGGACCTCAGTGTGCAGGACCTGAGGGGAGCTCTCATAGAAGGGTAGCAGCTGGGAAGAATACTGATGGAAATTCACTAGGGCGTCAGCCTCCAACTCCAGCTGGAAGAGTCTGTAGAGCCAGGACAGAGGAGCAAGACCCGAAATGAGTAAGGCGGGACCCTCGGCCCACATCCCTGCTGGAATCAGAAGGTCCCCAGGCTGCGGCCTGGCCAGCTCCAGCCCGACTCCCCTCCCAAGCAAACACACACACACACACACACACACACACACACACACACACACACACACACCCCTATACACATGTAAATGACATAATGGCGTTTAGGTTAGACTTTCTTTGTTTTTTAGAGACAAGGTCTTGCTCTGTAACCCAGGCTGGGGTGCGGTGGTGTGATCATGACTCACTGCATCTTCGAATTCCTGGGCTGAAGGGATCCTCCTACCTTAGTTCCTGAGTAGCTGGGATTACAGGCATGCACCACCATGCCCAGCTAATTTTTTTTTTTTTTGAGATAGAGTCTCATTTTGTCACCCAGGCTGGAGTGCAGTGTTGTAATCTCACCTCACTGCGACCTTCACCTCCCGGGTTCAAGCAATTCTCCTACCTCAGTCTCCAGAGTAGCTGGGATTAAAGGCGTGTGCTGCCACACCTGGCTAATTTTTTGTGTTTTTAGTAGAGATGGGGTTTGGCCATGTTGCCCAGGCTGGTCTCGAACTCCTGAGCTCAGGCAATCCACCCCCCTCAGCCTCTCAAAGTGCTAGGATTTCAGGCACTAGCCACCGTGAGCCACTGTGCCTGGCCTAATTTTTTTTTATTTTTGTTGACAGGGGGTCTTGCTATGTTGCCCAGGCTGGTCTTGAACTCCTGGCCTCAAGTGTTCCTCCTGCCTCAGCCTCCAAAAGTACTGGGATTACAGGTGTGAGCCACTATGCTTGTCTAGATTTTCCTTTATTTTGAAAAACTTTCCTTTTCTTTGGTAATATCATTTATTATTTTTATATTTTATTTTACCACAGCCCTGCCATATCCACTTTCTAATTTCATTGCCACATGTGAGAGCTCCAGCCTCGAGTACTTGGCCCCTCTTCATAGTAGGAACTAAGTAAGTATTGTTTAACCTAAATGTACAGCAACAAAATATTATATAAATTATGGTATAACTATGTAATAAACTATTATGCAGTCATTAAAATGAGATATTTAAAAAAAGGGAAACTTTTCTTTTTCTTTTCTTTTCTTTTTTTTTTTTTTGAGATGGAGTTTCATTCTTGTTGCCCAGGCTGGAGTACAATGGCACGATCTCGGCTCACTGCAGCCTCCATCTCCCAGGTTCAAGTGATTCTCCTGCCTCAGCCTCCTGAGTAGCTGGGATTACAGGCACCCGCCACCATGCCCGGCTAATTTTTTGTATTTTTAGAAGAGACAGAGTTTTGTCATGTTGGCCAGGCTGATCTTAAACTCCTGGCCTCAGGTGACCTGCCTGCCTGGGCCTCCCAAAGTGCTAGGATTACAGGCATGAGCCACTGCGCCCGGCCAGCTTTGTTCATTTTTAAGTGTTGAGGTTGAGTCCAAGTTTTGCTACTAAGGTGCTGTGTGATCTTGGGAAATCCTTTTCCCTCTCTGAGCCCCATTTGAAACATGAGACTAACTGTACCTGTCCTACCTACCTCCCAGAGGTGCTGTGAGGACAGATGAAAAACCACTATAAAAGCACTTTCAAAACCATAACCATTATATGTCAGTGATGGTTACTTAAAGTTCTGACCAGGGCTTTTAACATACCAAAAGGTTTTGTCTTGCATACCTCTACAAGCGCAGCAGCCAGCCAGAGTCTAGTGAAGGCAGTGCCCAGAGAGTGTTGGCTCAACGGGACCAGCCTGTTGTTCCACAGAGAGTGCGTTGATTAACAGTTAACTACTGGGCATGTGATCTGTGCCAAATGGAGGGGTCAATTAATGAACAATTGCATAAAATGCTCTGCCCTCCTGAAGCCTTTTTTTTTTTTTTTTTTTTGAGACAGAGTCTCACTCTGTTACCCAGGCTGGAGTGCAGTGGCGCGATCTCAGCTCACTGCAACCTCTGCCCCCTGGGTTCAAGTGATTCTCCTGCAATTCTCCTGCTTCAGCCTCCCTAGTAGCTGGGATTACAGGCGCTTGCTACCACGCCCAGCTAATTTTTGTATTTTTAGTAGGCACAGGGTTTCGCCATGTTGGCCAGGCTGGTCTCGAACTCCTCACCTCAAGTGATCCACCCATCTTGGTCTCCCAAAGTGCTGGGATTACAGGCGTGAGCCACTGTGCTTGGCCCGAGCCTATGTTATTATGGAGGAGATCAACAAAATGACTAAAGTAAAAACATAGAATAAGGAAGTACATTAAATAAACTATAACGTAATCAGTGTTACAGAAACAACAAAAACCACAACAAAGATAGGGAAGGAGGAGGCGGAAGGAAGCCATTCCTCATTGCCCTTGGCTGGGTTTTTCCTTCATCTCACCAGCCTCTCAACATCAGGGTACTCCACATCAAGTGTTGCCGATATGTCAGAGAATGACAACTGAAAACTCATCACTGGAATTAGCATCACGGAGGCATGCACGACCTTGACAACATTACTTTTAGTGGAATGGAGGGAACCAAGGCCTGATTAAAGTGGGTTTAAGGACACAATGTGAGAATCTGAAGATTGCAAAGATAGATATTTTTGAGGAGTTTTGCTGTGGTGAGGAGCAAATAAAGGAAAGGATAGCGAATGGGGAAAGTGTAATCAGGCATTTGAATGCTGACGGGAACGATGATTCTCTCTCAGAACTTCCACTTTCCATTAACAGCAGACTAGGGAATGTGAAACAGACCACCTACTGAGGACAGCCAGAAATGCTGGACAAATTATTAAAAAACATCTGCTGGCAGGCACTGGATACCTCAAAAGACACTGATGACTCACCAGGCTGGAAGGAATGATGGAAACCCAGGAATTGCAGTGTTCAGGTGGCTGTTACTGGAGAGGATGGGCAGACGAGCAGCACCAGTAACAGCCTCATGGGGCTCAGGACACAGGGACTGGAGCCCAGGCGTCTGCCAAGAGGAGAGCCCTGATGAACATCTCTTACTTTGGGTTAGGGTCCTAAAGAACTACGTAGCCTAGGAATAAGGGTGAGCCATACACAGACACGCTCTCACAGAGACCACAGTTCAGCCTCAAGTGATTTCAGTTCCAGAAACTAGACTGAGGTTATCCTAGTTGCAATGGGAGAAGCAAAAATAAATTCATTCTTTGTAAGGAAACATCAAACTAGGCTCTAGATTATTTCTTTTTTTTTTTTTTTTTTTTTTTTTGAGACGGAGTCTCGCTCTGTCACCCAGGCTGGAGTGCAGTGGCGTGATCTCGGCTCACTGCAACCTCTGCCTCCTGGTTCAAGTGATTCTCCTGCCTCAGCCTCCCGAGTAGCAGGGATTACAGGAACGTGCCACCATGCTCAGCTAATTTTTTGTATTTTTAGTAGAGATGGGGTTTCACCATGTTAGCCAGGATGGTCTTGATCTCCTGATCTCGTGATCCACCTGCCTCAGCCTCCCAAAGTGCTGGGATTACAGGCATGAGCCACTGCGCCCGGCCATTCCAGATTATTTCTACGAGCATACTTGCAAATACAATGACCAACACATAATCAAAACTCACCAGGCATATGTGGAGATAAGACATGAAAGAAAACCAACAGAAACAATATACAAAAGAAACATATCTGTGAGGGGACTGTAAATATTTAAGTTATCCAAAATAGACTTTAAAGTAACTGTGATAACATTCGAGAGGTTAAAAAAGGAAATTTAGAATTTTGGTGAAGAGTTTTGAATGATCAAAAAAGCATCAAATGGAAATTACAAAATTAAAAAATATAATCAGGAAAGAGTAAACAGAATAAAGCATGGAGAGACAGAAGAATACAAAATATAGTAGAGTACATAAGAGACACAGACTATCTAATAAAAGATCTAGCATACATACATAAGTGGAGGATCAGAGGCAGAGTAGAAAAAGAATCAAATGGAAGCTACATTTGAAAAGTTAATGTCTGCAAACTTTCCAAAACTGATTTTTAAAAAACATTATAGGTCAGGCACAGTGGCTCATACCTGTAATCCCACCACTTTGGGAGGCCAAGGTGGGTGGATCACCTGAGGTCAGGAATTCCAGACTAGCCATGGCGAAACCCCATGTCTACTAAAAATATAAAAATTAGCCGGGCGTGGCGGTGGGTGCCTATAATCCCAGCTACTTGGGAGGCTAAGGCAGGGGAATTGCTTGAACCAGCGGGGCGGAGGTTGCAGTGAGCCGAGATCACGCTACTTCACTCCAGCTTAGGCAAAAGAGTGAAACTCCATCTCTGATCACGCTACTTCACTCCAGCTTAGGCAAAAGAGTGAAACTCCATCTCCAAATAAATAAATAAAATTATTCTGCTGATTTAACATACCCTATAAGCCCTCCCTGACCCCACCACCAAAAAAAAAAAAAAAAACACATAGAAAAAAACAAAAAACAAGAAAGCCCCAGAAATCCACGCTTAGCACCTTGTAGGGGTTTTAAAACAGGGCCCCCTAAAATCACTGATATTCCTTGCACTGAGCAGTGGGAATTTGTATCTCTTTACCCTTTAATCTGGCGATGTAACTGCGTTACCAACAGAATATGGCAAAAGTGATGCCGTCCCAGCTTCCAGACCAATGCCTTAAGAGACTGGAAGTTTCTATTTCTCTTCTCTTGGGACCCAGCCATCATGCCTCAAGGAGGCTGAAGCAAGCCATGGTGACGACTCTTGGTCCTGGGCCCTGAGCCCTGAATGAACTACCAGCCAACAGCCAGCACCAACTTGCCAGTTGCGAGTTACCTTATATGGTGCCATATAAAGTAAAGCTGAGGCTTTCCCACTGAGCTCTGCTCAAATTGCAGATTTAAGGACTAAATAAATGATTCCTTTTATAAGCCACTGTGTTCTGGAGTAGTTTGTTACACAGCAATAACTGATAATGATACATATGTTGCACAATATGTATTGTATGTAACATAACAATTGCTGATATATGTGCCACATTACACCTGTTGAAAATAAAATACAAGGAGGAAATATTTAAAATAGCAGAGGGAAAAAAGTTATCTTCAAAGGGCAACCATTAGAATGACAGCTGGCTTCTCAACAATGGAACCCAGAGATAATGGAATGACTTCCTTAAAGAGCTGAAAAGAAAATAAATGCTGGCCAGGCACGGCGGCTCATGCCTATAATCCCAGCACTTTGGGAGGCCAAGGCAGGCAAATCACTTGAGCTCAGGAGTTTGAGATCAGCCTGGGCAACACGGTGAAACCCCGTCTCTACTAAAAATACAAAAATTAGTCAGGTGTAGTGGTGCATGCCTGTAGCCCCAGCTACTCAGGAGGTTGAGGGAGGAGAATCGCTTGAACCTGGGAGGCGGAGATCGTGCCACTGTACTCTAGCCTGGGCCACAGAGCAAGACTCTGTCTCTAAATAAATAAATGCCAATGAGAATTCTGTACTTAGCACACAAAACAAAATGAAAACAAAAACAAAACCTTCAAGAATAAGGTTAAAATTAAAACATTTCTCTAGTCAAACAAAAAACCCAGAGACTTTGTCATTAGCAGACCTACACGAAAGGAAATACAAAAGCTTTTTCTTTCCTTCTTTTTTTTTTTTGGAGACATGGTCTCACTCCTGTCACCCACGCTGGAGTGCAGTGGTGCAATCAACGCTCACTGCAGCCTCAACCTCCCAGGTTTAAGTAATCCTCCCACCTCAGCCTCCCGAGTAGCAGGGACGTGAACCACCACACCTGGCTAATTTTTTGTATTTTCAGTAGAGACAGGGTTTTGCCACGTAGCCCAGGCTGGTCTGGAAATCCTGGGCTCAAGCGATCCTCCCGCCTAGGCTTCCCAAAGTGCTGGGATTACAGGTGTGAGCCATCGTGCTGGGCCAAAAGCTTTCTCTTCATGTGGAATGAACACGATCCTAGATGGATGCTTAAAGAGGCATGAAAGAATGAAGCACCATGGCAAGTTAAATATGTGGGGGGATCTAAATAAGTATTGATGGTATAGCGTCTTGTTGGGTTTAAAATAAAAACTAAATAAAACAACAGCACACAGCATCGAAGCCTGGAAGGGAATACATAGCTAAAGGATTCTAAGACCAACTTATTGTTCTGGAAGATACTAATGGACCTTGAGTAAGGCAGAGATAAATCTCGTAATCTCTAAGGTTCTGTCAAGATGTGCAAAAGGTTTCAGACTTTGCCCCGCTTGTTGTTGTCAAAGTTTTGCTCCAGAAGAAGACACAATCTTGATTATGCTGAAAAGTAAGCAAACTTACCCTGTGCTCTACAAGGAGACCCTAACTCTATTTTCCAAGGCTGTTTGCTGTATAAACATCCTTTGAAGGTAGCCTGGAACAAAGGTAGTGCTATAATTTGGATTTCTGCCCCCCAAACCTCATGTTAAATTTTGATTCCAATGTTGGAGGTGGGGGGCTAATGGGAGGTGTTTGGGTCATAGGGGTGGATCCCTCATGAATGAATGCCCTCCCTGTGGGGTGGGGGTGAGTGAGTTTTCACTCTATTAGTTCCTGTAAGAACTGGTTGTTAAAAAGAGCCTGGCACTTTTTTTTTCTTTGAGACAGAGTTTCGCTCTTGTCGCCCAGGTGATCTTGGCTCACTGCAACCTCCACCTCCTGGATTCAAGAAATTCTCCTGCCTCAGCCTCCCGAGTAGCTAGGATTACAGGCATGCACCACCATGCCCAGCTAATTTTTTTGTATTTTTTTTAGTAGAGACAGGGTTTCTCCATGTTGGTCAGGCTGGTCTCAAAACTCCCGACCTCAGGTGATCCACTCGCCTTGGCCACCCAAAGTGCTGGGATTACAGGCACGAGCCACTGTGCCTGGCCCGTGCCTGGCACTTTTTAACAACCAGTTAACAACTTATTTTCTCTTCCTCACTTCCTTTCTTGCCATGTGACACTGGTAAGATGCTGGCACCATGTTTCTTGTATGGCCTGAGGAGCCATGAGACAAATAAAACCTCTTTTCTATGTATAATACTCAGACTTAGGTATTCCTTTATAGCAACACTAAACAGACAAAAACAGGTAGTCAATGTCTCTGCTAGCAGGATGTATGGAAATATGAGAGAGACTCTTGGAGAACGATCTCCCAACAGTTACTACTAAAAAGTGTATAACTTCCAAGCTAAGAGACAGAAAAAACAGAATCATATGAAAACGCTCAATCACAAATTGCAAAAGCATTATGCTAAGTGAAAAAGTCAGACTCATAAGACTACACGCTATATGATTAAAAGCAGCAGTGATGGAATGCACATAGGTATAGGAAGACGTCCTCCTGCGGGGAAAAAAAAAAAGGAAGCACATAGGTGTTGCCCAGGGATGGGGTGGGTGCCATGGACTATAAAGGAGGGTGAAGGAAATTTGGAGAATAACAGAAATGTCTTATATCTTGATTGTGGTGGTGGTTACATGGGGGTGTTCTGTTATCAAATGAAGGTGGAGGCAAAGCAAGATGGCCAAATAGGGCTGGGCGCGGTGGCTCATGCCTGTAATCCCAGCACTTTGGGAGGCCGAGGTGCGTGGATCACCTGAAGTCAGGAGTTTGAGACCAGCCTGGCCAACACGGAGAATCCCCGTCCCTACTAAAAATACAAAAATTAGCCAGGCATGTGGCCGCCGCCCCGTCTGGCAAGTGAGGAGCGCCTCTGCCCGGCCCCCGCCCTGTCTGGGAAGTGAGGAGTGCCTCTCCTGGCCGCCGTGCAACCTTCCAAGTGTGAAGCGACAGCCTTGTGTGTGATCTTTCTGCCTTCCCCAAGTTTGCATTTTCGACATTAAAGTTTACTTTTTAATTGAAAAAAAAAGTAGCCAAGCATGGTGGCAGGCACCTGTAATCCCAGCTACTGGGGAGGCTGAGGCTGGAGAATCGCTTGAACCCAGGAGGCAGAGGTTGCAGTGAGCCGAGATCGCGCCACTGCACTCCAGCCTGGGTGAAAGAGCAAAACTCCGTCTCAAAAAAAAAAAAAAAAGATGCCCAAATAGAAACCTCCACCAATTGTCCTCCCTGGAGGAAAACCAAATTGAACTATACACACAAAAAAGTACCTTCATAAAAAGCAAAAATCAGCCTAGGTACCAGCTCAGCTACAGTGTGGCAGAGCACCAAGAGGGCTCTTGGGGTCCCAGATTCTAAGTGTTGGCTGTGGGGTGGCAGTTCTGGACCTGCCCTGGGTCAGAGGGGAGCCCACTACCCTAAAGGGAGAGTCCCAGGCCTGGCAGTGTTCAGTTGCTTCAAGAGCCCTTAGGCCCTGAATGAACGTTGGCAGTGGCCTGGCAGCACTGCCACAGGGCTGGGGCAGTGGTGGCCATGGAGAGAGACTTCTCTGCTTGTGGAAAGGGGAGGGAAGAGCAGGAAGGACTTTGCCTTATGGCTTGGGTATCAGCCAGGCTGTAATAGAATAGAGCACTGGGGAGATTACTAAGGTTTCTGACTGCAGGCCCTGCCTCCCAGATGGCATCTAAGGACCTTCCCAGGATGGGGGTAGGGGGAACTTGCTGCCTTGAAGGGAAGGACATAATCTCACTGGCTTCACCACCTGCTGACTGTAGAGCCCTAGTGCCTTAAGCAAACGTAGGCAGTAGCCAGGCAGTGGAGACTGTAGGCCTTGGGTGAGACCCAGTGCTGTGCTGGCTTCAGGTCTGAGCCAGCATAGTCCTAGTGATAGTGGCCACAGAGGTGCCTGTGTCACCCCTCTCCTAGCTCCAGGCGGCCCAGCACAGAGAGAGAGACTCCACTTTTAGGGGAGAAAGTAAGGGAAGAGAACAAGAGCCTCTGCCTGGTAATCCAGAGAATTCTTCCAGATCTTATCCAAGACCACCCAAGTGGTACCTTTACGAGTCTGCAAGAGCCATAGTATTAGTAGGCTTGGGGTGCCCCCTAATGCAGATATGGCTGCAGTGACCAAAAACTTAGATCACAATACCCAAGTCCCTTTTATTACCTGGAAAGTCTTCCTAAGAAGAACAGATACAAACAAGCCCAGACTGCAAAGACTACAATAAATACCTAACTTCAATGCCCAGACACTGACGAACATCACAAGCATCAAGACCATACAGGAAAACATGACCTCACCAAATGAACTAATTAAGGTACCAGTGGCCAATTCTGGAGAGACAGAGATATGTGACCTTTCAGACAGAGAATTCAAAATAGCTGTTTTGAGGGAACTCAGTGAAATTCAAGCTAACACAGAGAAGGAATTCAGAATCCTAACAGATAAACTTAGCAAAGAGATTGAAATAATTTAAAAGAATCAAGCAGGCTGGGCACAGTGGCTCACGCCTGTAATCCCAGCACTTCGGAAGGCCAAGGCAGGCGGATCACAAGGTCAGGAGATCGAGACTATCCTGGCTAACATGGTGAAATCCCATCTCTACTAAAAATACAAAAAATTAGCCAGGCGTGGTGGCGGGCGCCTGTAATCCCAGCTACTCGGGAGGCTGAGGCAGAAGAATGGTGTGAACCCGGGAGGCAGAGCTTGCAGTGAGCGGAAATCGCGCCACTGCACTCCAGCCTGGGCGACAGAGCAAGACTCCATCTCAAAAAAAAAAAAAAGAATCAAGCAGAAATTCTGGACTTGAAAAATGCAGTTCACATACTGCTAAATGCTAAAGGGAGTTTTTCAATCTGAAAGAAAAGGACATTAATGAGCAATAAGAAATCACTTGAAAGTACAGAACTTAATGGTAATAGCAAGTACACAGAAACATATAGAATATTATAACACTGTCATATGTAGACCACTCATATCTTGAGTAGAAAGACTAAAAGAGGAACCAATCAAAAATAATAACTACAACTTTTCAGACATAAACAGTACAATAAGTTAAAAAGTGGGGGGACAAAGTTAAAATGTAGAGTTTTTATTAGTTTTCTCTTTGCTTGTTTGTCTGTTTATGCAATCAGTGTTAAGGTGTCATCAGTTTAAAATATTAGGTTATAAGATATTATTTGCAAGCCTCATGTTAACCTCAAATCAAAAAACATACAGCAGATACACACAAAAAAATAAAAAGCAAGAAATTAAAACATACCACCAGAGAAAATCACCTTCACTAAAAGGAGAACAGGAAGGAAAGAAAGAAGATCACAAAGCAACAAGAAAATAATTAATAAAGTGGCAGGAGTAAGTCCTTACTTGTCAGTAATAACATTGAACATAAATGGACTAAACTCTCCAATCAAAAGACACAGAGTGGCAGAACGGATAGAAAAACAAGACCCAGTGATCTGTTGCCTACATGAAACACACTTTACCTGTAAAGACACACATAGACTGAAACTAAAGGGATGGAGAAAGATATTCCATGCAAATGGAAACCAAATAAGAGCAGGAATAGCTATGCTATTCTATGAGGCAAAACAGACTTCAAGACAAAAACTATAAAAAGAGACAAAGAAGGTCATTATATAAAAGGGTCAATTCAGCAAGATAATGTAACAATTTTAAATACATATGCACTCAACACTGGAACACCCAGATATATAAAGGAAGTATTCTTAGAGCTAAAGAGAGAGATAGACCTCAATACAATAATAGCTGGAGACTTCAATACTCCACTTTCAGCATTAGACAGTTCATCCAGACAGAAAATCAACAAAGAAACACCAGCCTTAGTCTGCAGTATAGATCAGATGAACCTATTAGATATTTACAGAACATTTCATCCAACGGCTGCAGAATACACATTCTTCTCCTCAGCATATGGATCATTCTCAAGGATAGACCATATGGTAGGCCACAAAACAAGTCTTAAATTATTATTATTGTTATTATTTTTTTTTTGAGACAGAGTCTTGCTCTGTCACCCAGGCTGGAGTGCAGCGGCGCGATCTCGGCTCACTACCAGCTCTGCCTCCCGGGTTCACACCATTCTCCTGCCTCAGCCTCCTGAGTAGCTGGGACTACAGGCACCTGCCACCATGCCTGGCTAATTTTTTGTATTTTTAGTAGAGACGGGGTTTCACTGTGTTAGCCAGGATGGTCTCGATCTCCTGACCTCGTGATCTGCCTGCCTCGGCCTCCCAAAGCGCTGGGATTACAAGCATGAGCCACTTCTCCCAGCCAAATTACTTTTTAAATTTGAAATCATATCAAGTATCTTCTGTGATCACAATGAAATAAAACTACAAATCAAAAACAAGGTATTTTGCACACCATACGAACACATGGAAATGAAATAATATGCTCTTGAATGGTCAATGAAGAAATTAAGAAGGAAATTTAAAAACATCCTGAAACAAATGATAATGGAAACACAACATATCAAAACCTGTGAGATACAGGGAAAGAAGTACTAAGAGGAAAGTTGTACCTATAAGCACCTACATCAAGTAAGTAGAAAAACTTCAAAATAATCTAATGATGTCTCTTAAAGAACTAGAAAAGAGCAAACCAAACCCAAAATTAGTAGAAGAAAAGAAATAATAAAGATCATAGCAGAAATAAATGAAATTGAAACAAAACAATACAAAAGATCAACAAAATAAAGTTTTTTGAAAAGATAAACAAAATCAATAAATCTTTAACTAGACTAACAAAAAAAGAGAGAAAACCCAAACAAAAAAATCAGAAATGACAAAAGAGATATTACAACCAATATCACAGAAACTCAAAGGATTATTAGAGGTTACTGTGAACAATTATATGCCAATAAATTGAAAACCCTAGAAGAAATGGATAAATTCCTAGGCATACACAACCTACCAAGATGGAACCGTGAAGAAATCCAAAACCTAAATAGACCAATAACAAGTAATGAGATCAAAGCTGTAATGAAAAGTCTCCCAGCAAAGAAAAGCCTGGGACCCAGTGGCTTCACTGCTTAATTTTACCAAACATTTAAACAAAAACTAATACCAACCCTACTCAAACTATTATGAAAAACAGAGGAGAGAAAACTTCCAAACTCATTCTATGAGGCCAGTATTGCCCTGACACCAAAACCAGACAAAGACATATAAAAAAAGAAAACTACAGGCCAGTATCCCTGATGGATATTGATGCAAAACTTCTCAACAAAATACCAGCAAATCAAATTCAACAACACATTAAAAAGGTCACTCACGGCCAGGCGCAGTGGCTCACACCTGTAATCCCGGCACTTTGGGAGGCAGGGGCAGGTGGATCACCTGAGGTCAGGTGTCGAGACCAGCCTGGCCAACATGGTGAAACCCCGTCTCTACTAAAAATATAAAAAACTAGCTGGGTGTGGTGGTGGGCGCCTGTAATTCCAGCTACTTGGAAGGCTGGGACAGGAGAATTACTTGAACTCAGGAGGTGGAGGTTGCAGTGAGCTGAGATTGCACCACCGCACTCCAGCCTGGGCAACAGAGCGACACCCCATCTCAAAAATAAATATATAAATAGGAAGGCTAGTCTGATACAGGCTCCTCTGTCATGGCCAGAAGTGGAAGTTCATCCTACAAGTTTGATACGTAGTATTTGCATCATCATTGGGTCAAGATATTTTCTTTTTCTTTTCTTTTTTTTTTTTTTTTGAGATGAAGTTTCACTCATGTTGCCCAGGCTGGAGTGCAGTGGTGCAATCTCGGCTCACTGCAACCTCTGCCTCCCGGGTTCAAGTGATTCTCCCGCTTCAGCCTCCCAAGTAGCTGTGACCACAGGTGCCCACCACCACGCCTGGCTAATGTTTTGTATTTTTAGTAGAGACAGGGTTTCACCATGTTGGCCAGGCTGGTCTCAAACTCCTTACCTCAGGTGATCCACCCGCCTTGGCCTCCCACAGTGCTGGGATTACAGGCGTGAGCCACTGCAACCCGCCACGTCAAGATATTTTCTAAATTTCACTGTGACTTCTTTTTTGAACCATAGATAATTTACATATATCTTGCTTAAAATTCAAACATACGGGCTCATTTATAGTTACATTTTTGCTATTGATTTCTAGCTTAATTGCACTGTAGTTGGAGAACATAGTCTAAATCTCTTCAGGTATCTGAAATTTGTTCATATTTGCTTTATGGCCAGCATAGGTCAGTGTCTATAATTTTTATATAGGTGTTCTTGAAAAGAATGTGTATTCTGTTAGTTGGTAGGACAACTGTTTTATATATGTTCCATGGTCTGAATGTTTGTGTCTTCCTAAAATTCTTATGTTAAAACTTAATTCTCAGTGTGATAGTATTAAGAAATGGGGCCATTAGGAGGTAATTCGATCATCAGGGCTCTGCCCTCATGAATGGGATTGGTGCCATTTAAAAAGCGGCTTGCCAGGCACACTGGCTCACACTTGTAATCCCAGCACTTTGGGAGGCCGAGGCGGGTGGATCATCTGAGGTCAGGAGTTCGAGACCAGCCTGGCCAATATGGTGAAACCCCACCTCTACTAAAAATAAAAAAATTAGCCGGGTGTGGTGGTGGGCGCCTGTAATCCCAGCTACTCAGGTTTTCAAAAAATAAACAAAGCCAAAAGTTGGTTCTTTGGAAAGATTTTTTAAATTGGCAAATCACTAGCAAAACCAAACAAGAAATAGAGACAACACAAAGTACCATCCCTTCAGATCCTCCATACATTAAAAAGGAAATAAGGGGACCTGCAGACAAATTTGACAACTTCGATAAAATAGAAAAATTCCTTGAAAACACAACATACCCAAACCGACATGAGATGAAAATCTCATAGTCCTATATTTGTTAAAGAAATCGAATCCATGTTTTAAAAGCTTCCCACAAATAAACTCCAGGGTCACATGGTTTTACCCATGAATTCTTCCAAACATTTAAGAAAGAAAGAATACAGGCTAGACATGTGACTCATGCCTGTAATCCCAGCACTTTGGGAGGCTGAGGTGGGAGGATTGTTTGAGCCCAGGAGTTCAAGACCAGCCTGGGTAACTTGATGAGACCGTGTCTCTACAAAAAATTTTTAAAATTAGCCAGGTATGGTGGTGCGTGCCTGTAGTCCTGGCTACTCAGGAGGCTGAGGCAGGAGGATCACTTGAGCCTGGGAAGTTGAGGCTGCAGTGAGCCATGATCATGCCACTGAAGTTTGGCCTGGGTGAGAGAGAGATAGATGAAAGGAAGGAAGGAAGGAAGGAAGGAAGGAAGGAAGGAGATCTTCAACAATTTTTAGAAAATAGGAGAAAGAAGGAATGCTTCTCAAAGCTTTAAGATAGAGAAGGACTTCCTTAAACAAGACACAAAAAGTACACCGTAAAGAAGATGAACAAATTTGACTTCATTAAAACTAAGAACTCATGTTTATCAATAGATACCATTAAAAGAATAAAAAGGCAAAACACCGTGTGTGCAGCTGAACACGTATCACTGACAAAAGGTGTGTATTTGGACTGCACATGTACCAAAAAACTCCTCCTAAAACTCTGTAAGAAAAAGATAAACAACTTTATTTTTTAAATAGTCAAGAGAATTGAGCTGATACTTCACTGAAGAGGATATCCAAATGGTTAATCACTGTATCAAAAAGTGCTCAACTTCATTTGCAATCAGGCAAATGCAAAATAAAACCACAATAACATACTACTAGACACCCGACAGAATGACTAAAATTTTAAAACCTGACAGTACCAAGTAACAGAAGATATGAAGTAACAGAAAGTGCCATTTACTGCTGCTTGGAAAACAGACGGGCGGTATTATTTACTAACGTTGAAGACAAGTTATGGCCCATAATGCAGCCAGTTCACTTCTAGGTATGTCTACCAGAAATGTATGCATGTATGCACCAAAAAAACTAGAAATAACCCAAATTTTCATCAGTAGTAGAATGAGTAACTGTGATATAGTAGACAATGGAATTCTATTGCAATGAAAATGACAGACAGCTGCACACAAAACGTATCAATCTCGCCAACAAAATGCTAACAAAGAAGCCAGATAGAAAAGCCTTTATCTTGGCCGGGGGCGGTGGCTCACGCCTGTAATCCCAGCACTTTGGGAGGCTGAGGCAGGTGGATCACGAGGTCAGGAGATCAAGACCATCCTGGCTAACACGGTGAAACCTCGTCTCTACTAAAATACAAAAAATTAGCCGGGCGTGGTGGCGGGCACCTGTAGTCCCAGCTACTCAGGAGGCTGAGGCAGGAGAATGGCGTGAACCCAGGAGGCAGAGCTTGCAGTAAGCAGAGATTGCGCCACCGCACTCCAACCTGGGCAACACAGTGAGACTCCATCTCAAAAAAAAAAAGCCTTTATCATAAAAGGCAAGTTATTGGTTACCCTTCTTTGGGAAGAGGGGACAAAAGGAGGGCTTCTGGGGTGCTGTAATGTCCTATCTCTAGATTCGAGTGGTGGTTACACAGGTGTTTGTGATAAATCACTGAGCTGTATATCATTTTCTCTATATGTGTTATATTTTGCTATTTTTGAAAAGTTTAAAGAGAGAAAACAGGAGGAGAAGAATGAAGACAGTGGAATATAAGCAGTCTCTGGAGGAAAAAGTAGAGTCAAGAAATAATTTTTTTTTAAAGAAAAAAATAACCCATTGTATAGCGATGGAAAATAACTTAGGTCAGGACATTATAACAGAAAACTACAGACTGGGAGGCTTAAACAACCTTTATTTCTCACAGTTCTAGAGGCTAGGAAGTCTATGATCAAGGTGCTGGCTGATAGAGTTCCTGATGAGGGTTCACTTCCTGGTTTGCAGATGGCTATCTTCTCGTTGTGCCCTCACATGGCAGAGACAGATCATCTCTTTCTTGCCTCTTCGTCTAAGGGCACTAATCCCATTCATGAGGGCTCCATCCTCATGACCTAATCACCCCCATAGTGCTCTACCTCCTAATACCATCACACGAGGGATTGGGGCTTCAACATATGATTTCGGGGGGATACTTTCAATCCATAGCAAAAAATATATAGTAGAAAAGGGGAAAGTGTTATGTAGGAAAGAGGGGAGATAATTGTTCAAATGGTGTCAAGAAGTAGATGACAGGAGATGATGGCCTTGAATGGGGGGACCACCCTCAGCTAAACACATCGGTGCTGACAACAGGGAATGTGGAGTAGGCGGGGACAGAGGTGTGTGCATGGGGTAGAGGGAATTCTCCTCTGGCTATTTCTATTTTCTCAGCGAGACAGCAGCAGGGCTATCAGCTGAGAGTAAGCGTGGAGGGGAAGGGGCTGCAGGCTGAGGGGAGGGAAGGAGGCATGCCTTCTGGGAGAGGGGTGAACAGAGAAATGCAGAAAGACGTCAAACCACATCATAGGCTCACTGTGGCTCATGTCGTGATTTCAAAGTGAGAGCAATAGGGCCGGGCAGGGTGGTTCATGCCTGTAATCCCAGCACTTTGGGAGGCCAAGGCAGGCATATCACCTGAGGTCAGGAGTTCAAGACCAGCCTGGCCACCATGGCAAAACCCTGTCTGTACTAAAAAAAATACAAAAATTAGCCGGGTGTGGTGGCGGGTGCCTATAATACCAGCTACTCAGGAGGCTGAGGCAGAGAGAACTGCTTGAACCCCGGAGGTGGAGGTTGCAGTGAGCTGAGAGTGTGCCACTGCACTCCAGCCTGGGCAACAGAGCGAGACTCTGTGTCAAAAAAAAAAAAAAGAAAAAAAAAAAAAAAGAAAGTGAGAGCAGTCAGCAAAAAGGTATGTTCCCCTAGCCATGGTGGAGAACTGAAACCAAGCAGTTCTGGGGTGGTGATGCCAGGATGACGAAGAGAGAGAGAAGCAAGGAGGCAGGAAGTATAGGTGAAGGAGTGACAATGACAGGCCATGGAGTCCATGCTGGGTACAAAGCAAGGCACATGAACGGGATGGGGCTGGGAAAAGCGGCCAGGAGCAATTCCCTGTCAATGGGGAAAAGCACTGTGTGGGTGGAGGACTAGAGGGAATGAACTGGAAAGACAGAAGGCAGAGACTGGAAAGTGGGGTGCTTGAAACTTGTATTTACGGGAGAGCTGCTGTCACTGGCGATGATAAAGGCCAGCGCGTGGTCATGTGAATGTGGAGGGTCAGGAACCAGAGGCAACGCTGAGTCAGGGGCTCACATCTTTGAGGATGTGGGGGAGCACCCCAGGCTCGTAGATACCTATCACCGGGGTGACAGCAAGTGGTATTGTAGGGTGACAGAAGATTCAAGGCTGGGGGCAAGGAGGACCCTACCCCACCTCCAGGCCCAGTGGGAGAGGGACTGGGAGAGAAAACTCTCAGGAGGCTGCGGGGCAAGCGGGTCCTTCAAGGAGAGCCAGGTGTGGGTTACAGTGAGGAGGCAAAGGGGAGATTCAGGGAGAAGGCTGAGGCTCTGGAGGACACACGGGGGTGTGTCTCTTCCCTCCCTTCTAGAACCCCAGGCTGAAGCCACCTGGCCTCCACTCAGAAGCCTCTGCTGTGTCTCTGCTGGGGTGGGAGGGGTCTGTGGCTAAGCCTCAGGGGACCTGCAAACCTCTTGAAAGTGGCTGTGTGAGCCTGTTCTCATTCCCCAGGGACCTCAGGGGGTCCTGGACCAAAAAAAATGCCAAGGACCCTCACGCTAGAGCAGTACCTGAGTCCCCAGTTTCAAAGCCCAGCACAGGCCCTTCCTGCCCACAGGCTCCCCACAGGGCCCCTCCTCTGTCCTCTGGGCCTTTCCTAGTACCTTGTCTCTGTAGGGCCTTTCCCTCCAGCTGGTGGAGTCTTCTGGACCCCTTAAGGTCTATCTCTACCCCAGCCACCCCAGTGGAGCCTTTCCCACGCCCTCTGGTCAACACACTTGGCCTTCAGCAACCATGGATACATCTAGCCACTCGGCAGATATTTACCGTGCACCCACGGAGAGCGTGGCACACCACCAGGCATCAGGAACGCAGAGGAGACTTGGCCCCAGGCCCTGTCCCTCAGGAGCCCTGCAGTCTGGAGGGGAAACAGATGTGGAAACAGACCCACGGCAACCTAAGGCAAGAGGGGCTGTGTCTTGGCCACATGGGGGGTGCTGAGGCTCTGAGTGGGAACAGGACAGGCCCACAGAGCAGGAGCCGTGTGTCCAGCCAAGGAGTTGGGAAGGAGCATTCTTAGCAGAAGGAGAAGCAAGGGCAAAGAGGCCGTGTCGGGGACAAGGCCTGTGTAGGGAATACAAGGCCCCACTCTAAAGTTATCTCACTGAAGGCTGGGTACAGAGCCTCCTTTTCTCGCAGAGACCTGCCGCTTTCCACTCTGCTTGGTGAAGATGGGATGTGGGAGGACTGAATGGATGGAGGAGCTGGCCCCAGAGTACGTGGCCAGGACACAGGGCACTCCACTTATCTGAGGTTTCTGATAAGCAGTTTTATGGCAAAGTCCCAGTCCAGAGAGCCTCAAAAGTCAGCTCCCGGTAGGGAAGCACAGATCACACACTTCTATCATCCTTCCCAGGATGCCTGGGAGGTACAGCCCTGTTTCTGCTGAGATACCAGTGAGAGGCTGGTTGATTTCATCAAATGTCATCTGTTACAAGTCAATGCCAGCCGTAA
This sequence comes from Homo sapiens, assembly GCF_000001405.40. Lineage (NCBI taxonomy): Eukaryota > Metazoa > Chordata > Mammalia > Primates > Hominidae > Homo > Homo sapiens. The sequence goes on from NC_000022.11 coordinate 38,164,102, forward strand.
ATGATTAATCTGTACCAGGAACAGAAGTATCTATGCTATCATAGTGTACACAGGCATATTACAAGTGACCCCTGGGGGCTCACACGGGGAGAGCCAGGGCCCCCGCACCATAGGTCAGGCAGGAAGGGCCAGGATCAGCCCAGGCGGGTGGAGCTCCACTCAGCTCGCCACACTACAAAGCAGCCCTGATGTAAGAAAGGTAAACGAGTGGGTTCTGGAGCCAGGTGACAGGGTCTGAATAATCGCTACGCTGACCAGCTGTGTGATCTCAAATTCTGCAAGCCTCTGTTTCCTCATCTGTAATAGGAGGTCAGTAATGACCCCACCTCGTGGGACTGTCGTGAGGATAACATGAGTTACTACTTAGACTAGTGCCAAGCCCAGGCATGCAGGACCTGCTGGGAAACTGCAGATGCTCCTGCTGCTGTCGCTGTCTGTATCAGCAGGGTCCAGTCTCTCCGCCCAGCAGCAGTGCTGTGGGACTCTCCGGCCTTAGGTTATACAACCCAAGAATTCAGAAGCTCCTAATTCCATCCCCCAGGTCCATCCAGAAGCTCAGCCTGGCAGCTCACTGCAGCAACAGCAGCAAAAGAACAACAGAAACTCCTCCACCTGGAGCGGAAGGCTAGCAGCCCATGCTCACTCTAACACGCGTCAAGTACTCAGGACAGTCCAGAGGCCTCTAGGGCAACACAGGAGGAAGATCGTTTAGAAGGCAGAAACTCAGCCCTGGCCAGAGGCAAGTCCAGTGCACCAGGCCTGCTCTCCACAGACCGCAGGGTGTTGAGAGGAGCTGGGAGAACACTGCAATGACCACCCCCGGCCCTGGAGAACCCCAGGGCTCCAGCAGTGCCCTGATGACCCTCCTCCACAGCCTCGACCCCACCCCACCCCATCGCAGCCCTCACTCCAGGTCACAGCCTAGGCCTTGGCATTACTGCTTCTGGGACCCCTGATAACCTCAAACCCTGCATCCCAGTCCCCATCCTCCACCTCCCACTTCCCAGCTCACTCCTTCAACTGCCCTCAATGCAACAGTCCTCCACCCTCCACCCAGGTGGCACAGAGGGCCTGGCACACAGCAGCCCTCAATGAATACTCTAAAGCTAAATTAATATATCACATTCATTTGTTCCACAAACCTGATCTACGCCAGGCACCTGCTGGGGGCTGGGCACACTGTCATGAACCCAACAGACACAGTCCCTCCCCTCACAAGGTCTGTGGCCTACCAGGAAAGCAGGATCCCCAGTGCAGGGACGGGTGCCATGGGATGCCCAGCAGAAACTCCTAATCCAGCCTGCAGGTCAGGGGAGGGCAAGAGGAAGGAAGGCAGGCAAAGAAAGGGGAGTATTCCAGGCCACAGCAAGAGCCTGGGCAAAGGCCAGGAGCACAAGGCGGCATGAGCTGAGAACACAGAGGCAGAAACTTGATCACACTGGGCCCTTTTAAGTCATTAAGCACCTGATGTGTTAAGAAAACAGGAAGCTGGCCGGGCGCGGTGGCTCACTCCTGTAATCCCAGCACTTTGGGAGGCTGAGGCGGGCAGATCACAAGGTCAGGAGATCGAGACCATCCTGGCTAAGAGTAGATGGTGAAACCCCGTCTCTACTAAAAATACAAAAAAAATTAACTGGGCGTGGTGGCGGGCGCCTGTAGTCCCAGCTACTTGGGAGGCTGAGGCAGGAGAATGGCATGAACCCAGGAGGCAGATCTTGCAGTGAGCTGACATTGTGCCACTGCACTCCAGCCTGAGCGACAGAGCGAGACTCCATCTCAAAAAATGAAAATAAAAATAAAAATAAAAGAAAACAGGAAGCCCTTGGGGAGTAAAGCAGGGGAGTGACCAATCAGATTTGCCCTCTGGAAACAGCGCTGTGACAGCAGCTTGGAAGAGGATGAGAGGAGTGCAGGCCACAGCCGGAGCAGCAGGAGACACGTGCACAATGACTGTGGTCTGGAGAAGCGAGCCAGCAGCAAGACGGAGGGAGAAAGAACCTCTGATTTTCGACTGGCACGTGGCTGTCTGCAACACAGGCAACACTTCCCAGCATCCTTTGCAGTTAGCTGTGGCCATGTGACCGGGTTCTGGCCAATGCGTGCAACTTCCATGAAATGTCCCTGAGGAGGGGGAGATTGACCTTCTGCATCCTGCCCTTCCACCCTCCCTTTGGCTGGAAAGGTGGATGTGATGGCTGGATCTGGCACAGCCCGTTGCAATGATGCTATCTGCTGAAATGGAAAGGTTCGGGTGGGAGCAGGTTAGAGGGGAGAAGATAAAAAAGACTCCAGAGCTATGACTGTGAAAATAAATAAATCAATAAAATTTAGAAATAAGACAAACAAAGCCGGGCATGGTGACTCATGCCTGTAATCCCAGCACTTTGGGAGGCCAAGGCAGGCAGATCACGAGGTCAGGAGTTCAAGACCATCCTGGCTAACACAGTGAAACCCTGTCTCTACTAAAAAACACAAAAATTAGCCAGGTATGGTGGCACGCACCTGTAGTCTCAGCTACTCGGGAGGCTGAGGCAGAAGAATAGCTTGAACCCAGGAGGCAGAGGTTGCTGTAAGCCAAGATCATGCCACTGCACTCCAGCCTGGGCAACAGAGCAAGACTTAACGTCTCAAAAAAATAAATACATACATACATACATGGAAACAACACAGCAGCACAGAGAAATGAATTGGGAACCAGAAGACACTGATTCTGTTTCTTCACTGCTTCCTGTGTATAAGTGGGATGAATCACTTATCATCCCAAGGCTATTTTCTCATGCATAAAATGGAATACTGCCTTCCTTGCCCACCTCCACGGATTGGCAGAGAATGTGCTAACCCAACATACTTAAAAACATCCTGTAAAATTGTAATCCCAGCACTTTGGGAGGCCGAGGCAGGCGGATCACGAGGTCAGGAGATTGAGACCATCCTGGCTAACATGGTGAAACCCCATCTCTACTAAAAATACAAAATATTAGCCAGGCGTGGTGGCGGGTGCCTGTAGTCCCAGCTACTTGGGAGGCTGAGGCAGGAGAATGGCGTGAACCTGGGAGGCGGAGCTTGCAGTAAGCCGAGATCGCGTCACTGTACTCCAGCCTGGGTGACAGAGCGAGACTCTGTCTCAAAAAAAAAAAAAAAAGAAAACAAAAAATCCTGTAAACTATAAAGTACCACAGAATAGCTTACGTGTAGCTAAGAAGCTGCTGACAAAGGACTAAATCCTCCTGGGATGGAGGTCTGCCCACACTGGGGCTTAAGCTGGCTGAGACAAATCTGGAATCCTGTCAAGGGATTTTACAACTGACAGAACTTGGTGATTATTGGTACGTGGAGATTAGTGGTATCCCCAGGGCCGTGTACCTCAAAAGTGGGGCTGTCCAGCTCTCCAAGGAGTGGACCCGCTGCCCTGGTCAGCTGTGCCTGCAGTGGAGCTCTGAAGCTACAAGTGCAAGCCTGCCCCGTCCAGGGTCAGTCCTGATCGAGTCCAGCTGGAAGGCGGTCTGCTCAGCCCCATCTGCACTCAGAATCTGGAATGGCCCCACTGTATTAAAACTGGTGCCTGCACTGGCCACTGAGCTGCATTTAGCCCAAGCACCTGCTGTGGGTGCCTCTGCCTCAGGTTCCTTGTGGAGCCAGGCTCTGAATTCTCACCTGATTGGATGGGGCCCTGATACCTGCCTTGCTCTTCTGTTGGTGGCAGCCCCTGGCCCCCAGCCTGACACTTTCAGAGACCCCTCCTGCCATGCCTCTTTAGTCAGAATGAGTCCCCAGCTGCTTCCTTCAGCCTCACTCTCACCAAAGCCCTGCATGCACCTGGGATCCAACCAGAGCCACCTGCCTGCAGGCTCACACCTCCACACTTCTGCACGGCTGGAACGACCTTATCCATTTTGTTCTGCCACACAGGCTCCTCCTCACTCTTCCAGACGCAGAGTAGCTCTCAATCACCTCCTTGTGATCCACACTGTTTCCTAGGCTCTCCCTCTGTCACAGCACTCCTCAAGGGGTGCTATGACGCCTGTTTGCACCGGACCTCCCCCACCAGACTGTACGTTCCTTAAAGACACAGGACATGTTTGTCATCTCACAGGCCAGCCAGGACTGGCCCGAAGCCCAGGACTCTGGAGACACTGGAGGTGCTTGGTGCATGTTGAATGGATGGCTGACAGGACAGCCAGATGGATAGGTGAGCGGAAACAGGGATATCTGTCTGAGCCCAACTAGATGCCAGTCTGCCAAGCACTGCTGGGGCCTGCATTTGGAACCTTGGCTGCTTCTCCCCTTTTCCCAACCAGCTCTGCCGTTGGCCCGGTTCCCTCAGGCCTGTCCTGGCTTTTGAGCCTTCTCTTCAGGCCCAGGGGAGTCCCAGCATGCCCCAAGAGGCAACAGCTCTGTCCAGCCTTCCTAAGCAAACCCTGGGCAGCCCCTATGAGAACGGCCATGCCCTTAAAGAGCCAGGGCTAGGCCAGGTGCAGTGGCTCACGCCTGCAATCCCAGCACTTTGGGAGGCCAAGGTGGGCAGATCACCTGAGGTCAGGAGTTTGAGACCAGCCTGGCCAATATGATGAAACCCCGTCTCTGCTAAAAATACAAAAATCAGCTGGGCGTGGTGGTGGGTGCCTGTAATCCCAGCTACTCAGGAGGCTGAGGCAGGAGAATCGCTTGAACCTGGGAGGCAGAGGTTGCAGTGAGCCGAGATTGCGCCACTGCACTCCAGCCTGGGCAACAGAGCAAGACTGTCTCAAAAAACAAAAACCAAAACCAAAAATAAAGAGCCAGGGCTAAAGGTTCTCCCCATGGGCCTTATCTGATGTGGACACTCTCAGTCTCCCTGTCCTTCCTTCTTCCCTTTGTCCATATAGGTCGAGCCTCCAGGCCAGAAACAACCCAGGCTTCCATCCTCAGCCTCGTGCTGGGACACTGATGGGCCAGAAGTGTGGAGTCTCGGAAGCCCTTCCCTCTGGTCCAAGAGTACAGTCTCCCCTCTCTCCCACCCCTCTCCAGACCCCTCAGACAGAGACTCAAAGAAACTGCTTCTCGGCCAATAAGACCTCCAATCCGAGACGTGGGGGAGTGAAAGGAGAGAAGTATGTTCCCGCTGAGCATCACCCACCGGAATCCACTCTGTGAGTTCCTGGGGTTGACCAGGACGCAGTCCCAGGTGCGGTTGGGAGTGTTCTGGAACAGAATCAGCTGCCCTTCCTCCCGAACTCGGTCACTCGAGGTGTAGTCGGCCACAGCCACCTCCTTCACCCGGAATGGGTTAGAGAACAAGTTGGTGACGCCACTGAAGGTATTGACCAGGCGGCCAAAGAACTGCATCTTCTGCGGGGCAGGTGGGGAGGCCCCACCGTCTTCCCCCTCTGTCTGGAAGAAAACGAGGTCTCTGGTCAGCCAGGCACAGTCTCCCATGCCCATCTCACCCAGTGCAGCGGTTTCCTGCACAGACACCCAGATCACTCCCCACCAGCGTTGTCCCCAGATCCTGGGCCTGGAGGGATCTTAAAAGGAGGGGAAAGAAAGAGAAACAACACTGAGTGGGAGGTAAAAGTGACAGAACCCTCAGGCCAGGCTGGCTACCTAGAAGGCTGTCCCCCTGTGCTGCCACTGTGCACAGGTGACCTTAACTGCCTGCTTCCTGACCCAGTGTCCCAGCAGAGACTCAGTTTCCTCACCTGTAGTGTGTGGTATTGACCAAAGGAGATAGCACATGTGAACATACATTATAGGCAGTAATGCCCTGGGCAAATGGAGGGTTCTCACTAAATAAGTTACAGAGATAACCTTTCAGCACTCAAAGAGGCTAGTATGGACCAGACACAGTGGCTCAGGCATGTAATCCCAGCACTTCGAGAGGCTGAGGCGGGCGGATCATTTGAGGTCAGAAATTCGAGACCAGCCTGGCCAACATGGCGAAACCCTGCCTCTACTAAAAATACAAAAATTAGCCAGATGTGGTGGCAGGCGCCTGTAGTCCCAGCTGCCCGGGAAGCTGAGGCAGGAGAATCACTTGAACCCGGGAGGCAGAGGTTGCAGTGAGCTGAGATCGCGCCACTGCACTCCAGCCTGGGCGATAGGGTGACTCTGTCTCAAAAAAAAAAAAAAAAAAAGAGGCCAGCATGGATCATTTCACTTCCGCAAACAAAATCAATGTCCCCCCTCCTAGATACCAAAAGGTGACCAGCATCATGTCACACTCTATCGGAGCAAGGGGATCATCGGCATTGGTCTAAATCCTTTGTTTCCTGCTACCACAGGTTTCCCAAAGAGCTCCGAGAGACAGCACACAAAAGCAAGCTCCTTGGAAATGAACGAACTGCACCTTCTGCAGGGGCAGGTGGGGGAGCCCCTGCAGAAGATGCCATTCGAGACTCAGGAGCAGCAGTGTCTGGGTGGTAACTTTACGCTGCATATTCAGAGTCATAGTTTCTGCCATGGAAATTGTCCCCAGTGTTGATGATGGAATTAGATACCTTGTTATTTCCTAGGTTCCCAGAAAATACACTGCCTTCCTAAGGTACTGTCACCAAAGCCAGGCGCCAATCAGACGGAGGCCGCCCTCTGCCTCTGTGCCAAGATGTCACCAGACAAAAGACACTAAGGACAGAGTATGGGTGCCCTGGGGGAGAGAGGACATCTGAGTGGACACTGGGTCACAGCCACATTCTTCCCTGGCCTATGTGCTGAGCACAGGATCAACCCTGGGGACAGAAGGAAGACAAAAGCAAGGGGCCCACTAAGAGGCACATGAAAAGGAAAAAAGATCAATACTAATAATTATACCAACAAGGCACGGTGGTTCACGCCTGTAATCCCAGCACTTTGGGAGGCCGACTCGGGCGGATCACCTGAGGTCAGGAGTTTGAGACCAGCCTGACCAACATGGAGAAACCCCGTCTCTACTAAAAATACAAAAAATTAGCCAGGCATGGTGGCGCATGCCTGTAATCCCAGCTACTTGGGAGGCTGAGGCAGAAGAATCGCTTGAACCTGGGAGGCGGAGGTTGCGGTGAGCTGAGATGGCGCCATTGCACTCCAGCCTGGGCAACAAGAGCGAAACTCCGTCTCAAAAAAAAAAAAAAAAAGATCATAACAACTGAAGAAAAGTTCGCAGTGTCCCATTACAAGGCTCAGTGCCATCTCTCAATGATGTCTATCTGGAATGTTCTTCCTCTCCTTTTCTGTCTGAGAAAGCCCTGATCCTTCTTCAAATCCAAGCTTGGTTCTCGTGGTTCTCAGCCTCCTCCTTAAAAATGTTTTTGTTGTTGTTGTTTTGAAACAGGGTCTGGCTCTGTTGCCCAGGCTGGAGTACAGTGGCTCAATCATGGCTCACTGCAGCCTCTACCTCCTTCCACCTCAGCCTCCTGAGTAGCTAGGACTACAGGTGTGTATCACCAGGCCTAGGTAATTTCTTCCAAACAATTTTTATAGAGGCCAGGCATGGTGGCTCATGCCCGTAATCCCAGCACTCTGGGAGGCTGAGGAGGGCAGATCACTTGAGGTCAGGAATTTGAGACCAGCCTGACCAACATGGTGAAACTCCGTCTCTACTAAAAATATAAAAAAATTAGCTGGGCATGGTGGTGGGCACCTATAATCCCAGCTACTTGGGAGACTGAGGCAGGAGAATCACTTGAGCCCGGGAGGTGGAGGTTGCAGTGAGCCAAGATAGCACCACCGCACTCCAGCCTAGGTGACAGAGTGAAGACTCCGTCTCAGAAAAAAAAAAAAAAAAATTATAAAGACAGGGTCTTACCACGTTGCTCAGGCTGGTCTCGAACGCCCGGGTTCAAGCGATCTGCCTGCCTCAGCCTCTCAAAGTGCTGGGATTACAGGTGTGAGTCACCGTGTCTGGCCTAAAATGTTCTTGATACACCATCACCAGATGCCAGGTTCTCTCTCCTTGCTCTGGGCTCTCCCTCACTTTAAACACATCTGTACTATCACAGCCCAGCATGTTACAACTGCCCCTCCTGCCAGACGGTAAGCTTCGTCATCCTCCTACCAAACACTCCTGTGCATCTTGCTGGCACCATCCTGAAAGCTTTACGTACATTAATCATTCTGTCTGACAACCACTCTATGAACTGGTTACTATTATTATCCTCATTTTACATATGAGAACACCAAAGAACAGAGGGGTAAAGTCACGGGCCCAGGGTCACCCAGCTAGTGGGTGGAGCAGTGAAAGCTGGCACCCAGATGGGCTGGCCCAGAGTCTGAGTTTCTCAAAGGCAGCTGCTCGTCTTTTCATCTCCGTCCACAAGCTTGGCTCACAGAAAGTTTGTCAAAACAAAAATTTAACTGAGTAAATATTATGCATAGAAAAAACAAAGCCTGATAGAAAACAAACCAAGATAGACTGACAGAAAACATGCCATTGAGTAGATGAGGGTGCTGGGTTTATGGGCTTTTGTTTTTTCCTTTTCCCTATTTTCCAGATGCTATGTAAAGCGATTATAGTTTTCAAAGGAAGTAGCAGTATAGGCTGAGCCTCTGGGGGCTGCAGCCGGGAAGATGGGGACCTGTGGGACTCAGGCCTGGCCTGGAAGAGCGCAGAGAGGCTACCCCGAGGACGGGCCCACAGGGACGCGGAGGGGTGCGCCCAGGAAGGGCAGAGAGTCAAGAGCATCCAGCACCCATGAGCCTCAGATTGAGGGAGAAAGTCACCAGGGGTGCAGTGAAATCAAAGAAAGATTCCACACACCCCTTCGTCAATGGCCCAGCCTGTGTACCCCCCACCAGAGCCTGGGGCTAGGGGATGCCCCCCACACACCCACGACAGCATGGCCACAGAAACGACAGGCTTGGCTGGCATCCAGCCTTCAGGGTAGGCAGGAGGACGAGATGACGCAATGGAGGGAAGGTGTCTGGGACACAGGCCGACTGTGGGCACACAAACAGTGGCCATTGTTATCACTAGGTGGAAGAAAGGAAATGACAGCCACGGGGCCACATCCTGGAACACTCACGGCATTGCCAACCAGGAAGGCGGGCCAGCAGGGAGAAAGTGCTCACACGTGCTTCCTTCTGTCCCTGCCACCTTGGACCCTGGAGCCTAGGCTCTTCCCAGCACAGCTGCAAGAGGGGGATGGTGGATGAGGGCCCCCCGCATCATGCCTCACTTCATCTCTCCCCCTGGCTTCTCACAGCGTCCTACCCTTGACCTTCCCGTGGGGTAGACAATCACTTTTCCCCACTGATGACCGGCCCCTCCTCCTCCTTACCTGGGCTTCTCCCTGCACCCCCAGGATGCCCAGGTCACCTGACACAGACCGCACCTCGGCTGTGTCAAGCAGCTCTCTCAAACACCACAAGCAGAAAGACAAAGACCCAAGACCTTTGGTGGTGGGGGTTGACAGTGACAATTCTGCCTGTCCAAGCCAGGCAATTTCCAGGTACCAATTTTGGTGCCCCTGCTGAGGGAAGCCAGATATTTCTGGCCGTTTTCCTTATCTCTGCTCACCCATCCTCTGTCAAAACCAAGCTTGCCTGCTGGGTTCATTGAGGGAAGACTGACAGAGAGTGTGCTGGTGTGAGGGTCCCCTGGAGGAGCTGAAGGACGGGAGGAACAAGTATTATTATCCCATCTTCCCATCTCAGAGATCAAGAAACTGAGGCCCAGAGAGGCCCTGAATTGTACATGTTCAAAGGGCAAATTAAGGCCGGGCACAGTGGCTCGTGCCTGTAATTCCAGCATTTTGGGAGGCTGAGGCAGACGGATTGCTTGAGCCCAGGAATTTGAGACCAGCCTGGGGAACATGGCAAAACCCTGTCTCTACAAAATATAAAATAAAATTAGCTGGGCATGGTGGTGTGCGCCTGTGGTCCCAGCTACTCGGGAGGCTAAGGCAAGAGGATTGCTTGATCCTCTTGAGGTCGAGACTGCAGTGAGCCAAGATTGCACTACTGCACTCCAGCCTGGGAGACAGAGCAAGACCCTGCCTCAAAAACAAAACAAAACAAAGGGCAAATTAAAGTTGATGTCCACCAAAAAACAAAAACAAACGGGCTGGGCGCAGTGGCTCACGCCTGTAATCCCAGCACTTTGGGAGGTTAAGGCGGGCGGATCACGAAATCAGGAGATTGAGACCATCCTGGCTAACATGGTGAAACCCCGTCTCTACTAAAAATACAAAAAAAATTAGCTGGGCGTGGTGGCGGGTGCCTGTAGTCCCAGCTATTCGGGAGGCTGAGGCAGGAGAATGGCGTGAACCCGGGAGGCGGAGCTTGCAGTGAGCCGAGATCATGTCACTGCACTCCAGCCTGGGCGAGAGCGAGACTCTGTCTCAAAAAAAAAGAAAGAAAGAAAAACAAACGAAGAAACAAAAAACCTCGAGTGGGAACAGAGGGAGATTGGAGCCAATGGTAGCATCTCTGATGAGTTCCCTGGAAGTGACTACCTGGGTTCATAAAACAGTCAACAGAGAGACCCAAGACCAGTCCCTGTCTCGCCAAGTGCACGGTCCCCTGAGGGAAGGACCCCTAAAGGGGATGACTTTTTAGCTGAACTTTCCAGGAAGAACAGGAGTTTGCCAGCGGGGGAAATGGCGAGAGGCCTTCACAGCAGATGAAGCAGATCAGAACACGGAGGAAGGCAGAGATCAGGGGCTTGCTCAGCCCACCCATGAACGGTGAGCATTTTCACTGGGACTGGACGGCTCGAGAGGGGAAGGTGCTGAGAGGAGGGGCCGTGGTTAGTGCTGTGATCAACGTGAACACAGGTCACCTGGAGCCACTTGTCCAGGGCTGCTATGTCAGTCACGCCCCTCGCCATGCCCAGGGAAGCTCCTCTCATGACGAGGAGCCAAGCCCCGGAAGAAGTGCAGTAGAGGACAAGGGACCAAGAGGGTGGCTCAGAGCGGGTGGTGAGGGAGAACTCAGTCCCAAAAATCTGGTTCCTCCTCAGCTACGAATTCCCTGAAGGACCCTGGGCAGGTCTCAGGCACGGGAGGAGCGGTCCCTGCCCTCTGATTGCTGCTACCTGCCGCAGCTGCCAGGCCCAGGCAGTCCCCTCTCCTCCCCTTTGGAAGGTCTGTGTGAAAACTGCTTTTCTGTAGTGAAAGGGGCCTGCACTTGCGTCCTCCCTGGAATGCGCTCTCCAGTTCCTGCTGGAGCCCCTGCTCATCCTTCAAGGCCCAGCTGCCCCCTCTGAATGCTCAGAGCACCAGAGTGCCCTTCCAGCCTGCACGGTTCCCAACCCAGCCTGACACCCCTCCATGCCCACTGTACGATGCAAATCCAGCTGCAGGTCTCCCTGCTGACCCTGGCCAGTGGCGCCCCATGACCTCCCAGGGAAAGCCCAGACTCCAGCATCCATGAGAGCTGGCCCAACTCACCCCTCCAACTCATCCCTCACCTCTACTCCAGCCACGCCGCACCATCGATCTTCCCAGAACACGTCAAACTCGTGTCTCAGTGCACTTGGGGATACCACACATACGCTCCATCAGCGTAGCCCATCCTCCCCACTTTCTTAACCTGAATGTGTGCTCCACAAAGGACAAATGAACAAATCTCTTCTTATCCATGAAGATACAGCTCAGGTGCCATCTCCTCTGAAAATTCATACCCGCACCTCCGCCCTGCAGCCTGGTGTGCCTTCCTCTTCTCCCCAGCACCCCACACCACCCAGGGCCCAGCCCACAGGAACACACACCATGTGAGAATGGGGGTGCATCTGTTGGCTTGGGCTGCTCACCCAACCCGCTTTGATTTGTTTCCCTAAGCACCTGGCATGATGTTCCTGACTCACAGTGGGTGTTTAATAAGTTTGGTGAATGAATGAATGAGAATGAATGAATGAACCACCTATAAGCCCATGGGGCCAGCACCTCTGAAGCCCCCAGACACACTTTATTCCCTTGAAGGTGATAACAGGGACCACACACTGTTCCCACCCACTCTGAGCTGCCATGCTCCTCTCCACAACGGATAGGGAAATACCATGCTCAAATCCCACCAGTAGCTAACGGCCCACAAGGGGTTCGCTCCTCCACCGGGAGAACCTGTATCTAGCACCTGCACTCCTTCAGGAGCGGCCCTAAGTGATCGGACTGATCCATCCCCAGGCTTCGGTCTGGAAAGTTCAGCTTTATATATAGTCAGGGCACTTAGGCTGAGCTCACTCCTAGTCCAAGCAGGAAAGACTCCAAGCCTTCTGCTTCCTTCTTGACTAAGCCGAGAGCAGAGGAGCCGGACAGCTGCCCGAGAGGTGCGTGACAGGAACCCACAGGCAGCAGGCCAGGAAGCAGACCTCACAGGCTTGGCCACGTGGGGGATTCCAGGAGCACACACAGAACTGCCCGAGGTGGAAATCAGGCCTCACGAGCCCCAGCTGCTGACGACAGGATGTCCCATGATTGGAACAACTGTTGGATGGTCCTGGCAGCAGAACCTGGCAGCAGTGACACCCTCCTGAGCACCCTCCTCCCACCCAGTCAAGACAGAGCAGGCTGGAAACTCAGGGTCCACTCAGAGTGCCAAGCTGCCCCAACTTCCTTCCTGTAGCTCCGTCTGTGCCACACAGCACGGGAGCATGCCACCACACACCGGCCTCCGTCCTCTCACAAGGCCACCATGCCTCACGGTTGGCAAAGGGTTTCACACTTGTGATCCACCTCCAAGCTCACAAAGAAACAGGGAAGGCGCAGCCGGGCGCGGTGGCTCACACCTGTAATCCCAGCACTTTGGGAGGGTGAGATGGGCAGATCACCTGAGGTCAGAAGTTCAAGACCAGCCTGGCCAACGTGTGAGAAAAAAACCCCATCTCTACTAAAACTACAAAAAAAATTAGCCTGGCGTGATGGTGGGTGCCTATAATCACAGCTACTTGGGAGGCTGAAGCAGGAGAATCTTTGAACCCGAGAGGCAGAGGCTGCAGTGAGCCGAGATCATGCCACTGCACTAAAGCTTGGATGACAAAGTGAGACTGTCTCAAAAAAAAAAAAAAAGAAACAAGGAAGGTGCAATCATTCTCCCTGTTTGGCATGTGGAGAAATCAAGGCCCCAAGAGAGGAAATGGGGTGGCAGGTTGTGGTGGGGGATTGCCTGCCTATGTCCTCTGACTCTTGAACAGCACTAGGCAAAGGGCTGGCCACACAGCAGGTGCTCAATCTGTGGGTGAGAAAACACTGAATGAACACAGGGGTCATCTGAGCCTCTGAACCTCCAAGGCAGCCTCCCGGCAAAATGTCCCCGCAAATGTTCCCTCTGACCCCAGCTCATTCCAACCTCTTTCCTAAGTTAGTGGGAAAGGGCTTGATCCCATCCCCTCACACCCCATCAGCACCCACTGCTGCCCAGCACCCACAGGGCGCCAGACGCTTCACCACAGTTTCGGGTAAATTGCCACTTTTTTTTTTTTTTTTTTTTTGAGACAGAGTTTCACTCTTGTTGCCCAAGCTGGAGTGCAATGGCGTGATCTTGGCTCACTGCAACCTCTGCCTCCCGGGTTCAAGCGATTCTCCTGCCTCAGTCTCCAGACTAGCTGGGATTACAGGCGCGCACCACCACACTCGGCTAATTTTTTGTATTTTTAGTAGAAACGGGGTTTCACCATGTTAACCAGGCTGGTCTTGAACTCCTGACCTCCGGTGATCCGCCCACCTCCACCTCCCAAAGTGCTGGGGTTACAGGCATGAGCCACTGCGCCCGGCCGAATTGCCACATTTAACCCTCCAAACACCTGTAAGAAAAGGTCCAGGTCTCTCCACATTACACAGGAAACTGGGGCACAGGTTACACAGTTTGCCAGGATCTGAACCCAATTAGGTGGAATCCAGAGCATCAGGCTCTTAATCCTCAAACTGCCTTCAGGAGAAAGCTGAAAGAAGGTGGCTGAGCGAGGCTTGCTCAACAGGCTCTTAGATTCCAAAAGCCAAGGCCCTCGTCTCAAAATGCACTGCTGCTCACGTGAGCCAGAGCAAAACGTCCTTTCACAAAAGGAAAAAGCATCTCTTTCATTCACTCCGCTTGGCTGGACCACAGCTGGAAGCAAACTGCCCCGAAACTGTCACTGGAGCTCCCAAGCACATGAGACAGGGGTGACTTTAAGAGATCTTTGGGCTGGTGGCACGGTACAGTGTGGCCCATGTTATGACTCACTCCACAAATATTTACTGAGATGGATTGTGGCAGGCATTGTTCTAACCGCTGAGGATACAATCGTAAACAAAACAGACTGGTCAGGCACGGCAGTTCACTCCTGTAATCCCAGCACTTTAGGAGGCCAAGGAAGGAGGATCACTTAAGCTCAGGACTTTGAGACCAGCCTGGGTAATATAGTGAGACCTCACCTCTACAAAAACTTAACAATTACCCAGGCATGGTATCTCTCATGCCTGTAAGTCCCAGCTACTAAGGTGGCTGAGGTGGGGGGATTGCTTAAGTCTAGCAGGTCGAGGCTGCAGTGAGCTGTGATTGTGCCACTGCAATCCAGCCTGAGCGACAGTGAGACCCTGTCTTAAAACAAAACAAGGCCGGGCGCGGTGGCTCACACCAGTAATCCCAGAACTTTGGGAGGCCGAGGCGGGTGGATCACTTGAGGTCAAGAGTTCAAGACCGGCCTGGCCAACATAGTGAAACCCCATCTCTACCAAAAAATACAAAAATTAGCTGGGTGTGGTGGCGTGCACCTGTAATTCCAGCTTCCTGGGAGACTGAGGTGGGAGAATCACTCAAACCCAGGAGGCGGAGGCTGCAGTGAGCTGAGATCGCACCACTGCGCTCCAGCCTGGGCAACAGAGTGAGACCCTGTCTCAAAACCAAAACAACCAACCAACCAAAAAAAACCCCACAAAATCCCTGACATCCTGGAACTTATATTTTAGACAGAGCTACTAATAATAAAGAAGATAAACAGGTAAATATTTACAAAGGTTTTAGATGACAATTAACTACTGAGGAGAAAAACCAGAGAATGGGGATAGGAAGTGCTGAGGTGGAGAGTGAAATTTTAGATTGGGTGAGGAGAGAAGTCTTCACCAAGAAATTGATCTTAAATAAATACCTGATGGAGAGAGATGAAAGTCATATGAATAGCTAGGCAAAGAGAGCGTGTGCAAAGGCCATGGGGCTGGAACATGTTTAGCGAGTTCCAGGAAAAGCAAGGAAGCCAGTGACATCAGAGAGGCAACAGGGGGCCAGGCATGTGCCATGAGAGGAGAGGCCACTGCAAAGAAACAACATTTTAACAAGATCACTCTGGCTGGGTGTGGGGTAAGAAACAGAGAGGCATCATAGATAATCTCACAGCTTTGACCTGAGCAACTGAATGAACAATACTCCTATGTCCTAAGATGAGAAAGAGAGTGGGAGGGACATGTTTTGGTGAAGAGTGGGGTCAGGGATGGAGGGCAGAACTAACAGGAGCTCAATTCTAAACTCTTAAGTTTGAGGCCTGGCGCGGTGGCTCACACCTGTAATCCCACCACTTTGGGAGGCCAAGGCAGGTGGATCACTTGAGATCAGGAGTTCGAGACCAGCCTGGCCAACACGGTGAAACCCCGCCTCTACAAAAATACAAAAATTAGTTGGGCATGATGGCGCATGCTTGTAATCCCAGCTACTTGGGAGGCTGAGGCAGGAGAATCAGGAGGTGGAGGTTGCAGTGAGCCGAGATCGTGCCATTGCATTCCAGCCTGGGTGACAGAGTGAGACTCTGTCTCAAAAAATAAATAAATCAATAAATAAATACTTCAAGTTTGAAAAGCCTAAGTTTGAGGTGCTGAGTAAGCAACTAGATTTGAGTATGTCATTCCAGGGAAAGGTCTGGACTGGACTGGGGATATAAATTTGTGGGCTGACAGAATAGAGACGGCACTTAAAGAAATAAGACTGGATGAGATCACCATCCGAAAACGAGAAGAGGCATTTAAGACATGACCCTATCAAAATCCACTGTGAAAGACACAGAACATATTCTCCCAGGGAGCCACCCTCTACAAAGTGAAGTTTGTAACACACTCTTCACTACGGCCCCTTACTCCTTGCCTACCTACTTCCCCCAGCACACACACCCAATAGATGTCTGCAGACACACACACACACACACACACACACACACACACACACACACAGAGTATTTAAATTTCTCCTTTCTGTATCTCTTAGTGATGTCATTCTGCTGAGTAAGAGGGAAACTCCCTTTTGGGGAGTCTCTCATGTAACAAGAAAGTAATCCACGGAAGGAACAAGAAGTGTCCTAAACAGTAGCAAACCTTACACATCAGGACAATCACACAGGCTCTGGTGTCAGATTCCAGCTTCAACCTCATCGGTGTGACCTCAAGCAACTCATGCGCCCTCTTTTTCTCATGTGAAGTGAGAATATCATTGGCCACACCAAGGGTAGCCTAGAACATCAGACAGTCCGTAAATATTTGTTAGATAAACGATGACTGAATGAATGGTGAAGAGAACATATACAGAAGAGCCTGACTCACAAGAGGTGATGAACAAACACTGCCAAATGATACACTGAAAGACAAGGGACCTCCTGCTCATCCTTCTCTCCTTGTCTTCTCATTCTAGCCCTTTCCCTTTCCACTCCTTTCAATTCTGCCTATGACCCAACAGTAAAATCATGTATTTGTACAGGGCCATACTGGTTATAAAGCTTTACCTTCTACATTTTCTCATTCAAATTTTGAACCTCATGGCAGACTTACGAGGGCAGGAGGTACAGTTCCCCTGTCACAGATGAGGAAACTGAGACTTGGACAGAAAACAGGTTCCAAACTCCAGGCAGAAACTCTAACAAAAACAATGCATTCAAAAACAATGCATTCAGCCCAAGGGTGCAGCCTCAACGTTGCCAAACCGAACCTGCCTGACATCCTGTTGGGCGGGTAAGAGGCAGGTGAGGGAAAGACCCAGAAGCTAGGGGGAGGTATTCGTTGGGGTCATGTGGGTAGCCCATTAAAAATACGGCCACAGGTCCCCTTGCCCTGTGCCCTCCCTGTCCCACACCCACAGGCTTGCCCCGACCCAGTCCCATGATCACCCTGGTCACATGCTCCCTGTCACCAGCTTCCAAGTCATCTGTGGGAGCAGGAGGTGGACACAGGATTAGGGGTGGGAGACTCTGGGGTGGCCAGGCTGAGGGGAAGGAGGGAGCATGTCGGGGGCAGGTCTGGAGGCACGCGAGAGAGGAAAGGCAAGGAAAAAAAGCAGGGAGGAAAGGCAGGAGAAGCAGGGAGTGAGAAATGAGTAGAGGCACCACGAAAGGTGGAGACGGACGTGAAGTGGGGAATCAAGTGAGCACTTAGAGGAGCACAGGAAGGAAAATTAGGACGGCCAATGGGGCCTAAAGAGGCACTGAGGGTCGGGGAAAGAGAAGAGATGGATTGACTCGGGAAGTTAGGGATACTGAGGGAGACACACGGAGGAGACTGGGGTTCAGGGGAGAAACTCAGGGTCGAAGCTGGGGTCCCTGGGGTCCACAAGTTCGAGATGAGACACGGGCGGTCTCGGGATGGGAATTGGGGACGCAGGGGGATGAAAAGATGGAAGGTGGGGGCACTCAGGGAGTCACATAAGGGTTAATGGAGGACATGCCTCAGAATCGGAGACACGAGGAATATCCAAAGGAGGGTCCGGCGGAGACTTGGGAGTCCGGAGCGCCGAGGAAGTTGGGGAACGGACCCCCAGGCCCCGCCCACCCGCGAGGTCACTCACCTCGGCTTACTCAGCACTTCTACTTCCTCCTACTTCCGCAAACAAACGGGCCTCGGGCCACGTGATGGCCTGACCACCGCTCTCCGCCAATCACTGGTGGCCCTGTCCCAGGCCTCCTCTAGGCTCCGCCCCCGCGCCCGAGGACGGCGGGAGGCGGGGTCCGCCATTTTTTTTAACTGCCCAATGGAAGGGGCTCCCTTAGCCAGGAGGACGAGCTTTCGGCGGGAGCCAATCCTCGGCGGCGAGGCGCGGCCATGTTTGTGCGGGGCAGAAGGTGCCCGGCTTCTTGGCAGTCCTGTTGATGAGGGCCAGGAGTCCTACCCTAGTCCGCCTTCCGCCTCCTAAAGCGACCAGAGCCTGGAGTCTGAAGTTACTGTTAATGATTGCTCGTAAAGATAAAAATAAAGGCAACAGAGGCATAGGGCATAACAAGGAGGAACCTGTTTTGATTTTTGCCAGGTAGCCTCAAGCCAGGGTTGCCAGATGTAGCATATAAAAAATACGGGATGTTAAGTTACATTTGAATTTCAGCTAAACAGCCAATACATTTTTTTCCGATAGAACAGAAATTGATTATAGCTTTTTTATTTTTCACAACTAAGGCCAAATTCCCTAGGGGAATTACCACATGTCCTTTTTTTTTTTTTTTTTGAGACAAGTCTCGCTCTGTCGACCATGCTGGAGTGCAGTGGCACGATCTCGCTCACTGCAACCTCCGCCTCCCGGATTCAAGCGATTCTCCTGCGTCAGCCTCCCGCGTAGCTGAGATTGCAGGCGCCCGCCACTACGCCCAGCTAATTTTTTGTATTTTTAGTAGAGACGGGGTTTCACCATGTTGGCCAGGCTGGTCTCGAACTCCTGACCTCAAGTGATCTGCCCGCCTCAGCCTCCCGAAGTGCTGGGATTACAGGCGTGAGCCACCACGCCCGGCTCCGAAATTTTTAACATAAGTATAATATACTAAGTTTAGTATTGTGTTAAAAATGTGTGCATTGTTGTCTGGCAACACACCCTGAGCCAGTCTCAGGAAATACCTTAGCACTTTCAGTAGGAACTTGGGCAAATGATCTCTGTGAACCTCAGACCCATCATCCAGGAAGTGGGCACAGTAATACAAGATTGTTGTAATATCTAGAAGTAAATTGGTCCCCATTCGTGCACATAGTGGGATTTCAATAAATGGCAGTTGTTAGGGTTAATAATGCCGATAATGAGGTATTTTGCAGAGAAGCCAGGAGACTAGACTTTAGTCACACATCTGCTTCGGACTGAGCAGGTCATGTCCTCTCTTCAGCCCACTGGCTTGGTTGGACCTTTTCTTTCCCTAATAATCACCCAACCCTAGGTCTAGATGAATCTGCCAGACTGCTCTCCATTTACGTGGGAAGTATAGTTGCGGGTGTCATTCTTGTGAAAAGAAGCGTGTAGGCCGGGTGCGGTGGCTCACGCCTATAATCCCAGCAGTTTGGGAGGCTGAGGCGGGTGGATCACTTGAGGTCAGGAGTTTGAGACCAGCCTGACCAACATGGTGAAACCCCATCTCTACTAAAAATACAAATAATTAGCTGGGTGTGCTGGCCATAGTCTGTAGTCCCAGCTGCTCAGGAGGCTGAGGCAGGAGAATTGCTTGAACCCAGGAGGCAGAGGTTGCAGTGAGCCAAGATCATGCCACTGTACTCCAGCCTGGGTGACAGAGCCAGACTCTGTCTCAAAAAAAAAAAAAGTGTGTTTCCTCCTTAGTCCGTCTAAAGATATTAGTGCCTAGACAGGGCAGCCAATGCAACTTGCGCAAGGTTTAGTTAAGAATCTTCACAGGTTAATGAAATTAACCATCTTAACTAATATCTGTACAGAGCTTTACCAGTTACAAAGTGACTTCACTTCCATCATATCCTCGTGTCCCCATTTTACAGGTGAGGAAATTGTTCCTTAAAGTAAGATTTAAAATTTGCTTAAGAGTTTCAGCTTGACTGCGCACAGTGGCTCACGCCTGTAATCCCAACACTTTGGGAGGCCGAGGTGGGCAGATCACTTGAGCTCAGGAGTTCAAGACCAGCTTGTGCAACATGGAGAAACCTCGTCTTTAAAAAAAATACAAAAATTATCCAGGTGTGGTCTTGCATGCCTTTGGTCCCAGCTACTGTGCAGGGGAGGCCGGGGGGTCAAGGATGCAGTGAGCCAAGATCGCCTGCACTCCAGCCTGGGTGACAGAGCGAGACCATGTCTCAAAAAAAAAAAAAAAAAAGTTTCAGCTTGAAGTGGAGAGAAAAGGATAAAGACTCAGAATTCTCAATGAAAATATCTTGCCTCCACACCCCAAACAAGCAAAGTTAGAGCGATGGTTATCAAGGAGCTTGCAAAAGGCCATGCATTCCACGCACTGCCAAGCAATCTTTCCTTCCTGAGAAAACCCACAGGGGCAACATGAGGTGTCCCATTCTTCAACAAACACCCACCCTTGCATTCAGGATTTTGCAAAGCACATTTGGAAATGCAGATACACAGGTGAATCTAAAATGCAGACAAGGGCCAGGTGTGGTGGCTCATGCCTATAATCCCAACACTTTAGGAGGCTGAGGCGGGTGGATTACCTGAGGTCAGGAGTTCGAGACCATTCTGACCAACATGGTGAAACCCCGTCTCTACAAAAAAATACAAAAAAATTAGTCAGGCGTGGTGGCAGGCAACTGTAATCCCAGCTACTGGGGAGGCTGAGGCAGAAAAATCTCTTGAACCCAGGAGGTGGAGGTTGCAGTGAGCTGAGATCACACCAGTGCCCTCCAGCCTAGGCGACAGAGCAAGACCCCATCTCAATAAATAAATAAATAATAAAATGCAGAAAAGGCCAAGAGAGGCTGGATCAATTGCTGGAAACAGTCAAAGATCCACAGAAGACATTCACAAAATAGAATCTCAGTACCTGATGAAGTTAAGTATCCCTTCCCTAGGTATTTCTGGTGGAAACCATTTAATGAGTAGATAAATCAAAAGATGGAATAGAGGGGA
Source organism: Homo sapiens (assembly GCF_000001405.40). Classification (NCBI taxonomy): domain Eukaryota; kingdom Metazoa; phylum Chordata; class Mammalia; order Primates; family Hominidae; genus Homo; species Homo sapiens. The sequence goes on from NC_000022.11 coordinate 38,184,790, forward strand.
TTATTAGGTAGCATTGAATGAGCAAGTAAAGGGATGGGGCAAGTAAGCACGAGGGAGTGTGTTCTGTAGTGCTAGCAGATGGAGCTGCTAGCAGTTAAAGTCAAAAGAACTTCTCCTGAGGTGTTGTGCTAGGCTCCTCCCATACATCAGGGAGGGCGTCTGCCCTCTAAGAGCCCAGAGCACAGAGGGTCAGACTAGACTAATCTTTTCCTTCAAGGAGCTAGATGGAAATCTAACTAACATGCTAACAGTGCAATATCACACCTTTTACTTTTTTTTGGAGACAGAGTCTCCCTCTGTCACCCAGGCTGGAGCGCAGTGGCGCGATCTTGGCTCACGGCAACCTCCACCTCCCAGGTTCTAACTGATTCTCCTGCCTCAGCCTCCCGAGTAGCTGGAATTACAGGCGTGCACTACCACGCCTGGCTAATTTTTGTATTTCTAATAGAAACGAGGTTTCACCAAGTTGGCCAGGCTGGTCTCAAACTCCTGACCTCAGGGGATCCACCCGCCTCAGTCTCCCAAAGTGCTGGGATTACAGGTGTGAGCCACCACCCCCAGCCGACTTCTTACTTTTTTATCCTTGCAACAGCCCTGTGATATAGTACTGCCATCCCCACTTTGTAGATGAAGAGAATGAGGTTCCACAAGGGAAAATTATCCCCAGAGTTGCCAATGAGAGGCAGTGCCAGTTGCCAGTGTCAACGAGAGGCAGAACCAGAATCAGCACCTGTCTTGTCTTTTCTCTCTCCAAACTCTAGGAGCACTCATTATGTGCCAGGCAGTGTTCTTGGTGCACGTGTAATCCCAGGCACTGAACAAAATGGACAAAAATCCCTGCCTTTGTGCTGCTCACATCCTGGTGGGGAAAGACGGAGAATAAACTAGATAGAGAAGGAAACAGAGAGTGTGTTTTGCTAATGTCTTTGAGTGAGGGTGTCATCATGTTAGCATCTTACATTCAAAGCACCTTAACTGTGGGATCTGGGCATGTCTATTTGAATACCTTTGCACTAGTCCTCCAATTATCTGTGTGTTTGAACTTTTTCTTTCTTTCTTTCTTTTTTTTTTTTTTTTGGAGACAGGGTCTGGCTCTCTCACCCAGGCTGGAGTGCAGTGGGGTGATCTTGGCTGACTGCAATCTCTGCCTCCTGGGCTCAAGCGATCCTCCCATCTCAGTGTCCTGAGTAGCTGGGACTACAGGTTCAGGCCACTATGCTTTTTTTTTTTTTCGGTAGAGTCTGCTTTTCGCCATGTTGCCTAGGCTGGTCTCGAACTCCTGGCCTCAAGCAATCTGCCTGCCTCAGCCTCCCAAAGTGCTGGGATTATAGGCATGAACCACTGTTCTTGGCCTGAACATTTTTATAATTAAAAAGTTGGAGGAAGCTGGGCACAGTGGCTCATGCCTGTAATCCCAGCACTTTGGGAGGCCGAGGCGGGCAGATCACTTGAGGTCAGGAGTTCAAGACCAGCCTGGCCAACATGGTGAAACCCCGTCTCTACTAAAAATACAAAAATTAGCTGGGCGTGACAGCTGGCACCTGTAATCCCAGCTACTCGGGAGGCTGAGGCAGGAGAATCGCTTGAACCCGGAAGGCAGAGGTTGCAATGAGCCAAGATCTTGCCACTGCACGCCAGCTTGGGCAACAGAAGGAGACTCTGCCTCAAAACAAAACAAAACAAAACAAAACAAAAAGTTGGGGGAATATATAGTGAGTTAGAGGGTGAGGAATGCTGGGGAGTAAACACAGGAAGGAGAGACCGGGGAGGGTCACAGTTTTAACTAGATGGGCCAGGAAAAGCGTTAGAAGGGAGATAATTAAATAAAGACCTGATGGAGGCGAAGGAGTGAGCTATGTGCACAACCAGGAAAAGAGTGTTCCAGATGGAGCAAGAACAAAGGCCCTGAGGCAGAAGCCCGCCTGGCTTGTTTTAAGAGGAAAAGCAAAGAGGCTATTATAGCTTTGTTTTGGAGTAGAGAGCCAGTGGGGGTGTAGTAGGCAATAACGTTGAGGTTAAAAGGATATTGGGAGTAGAACTTGTAGGACACTGGAAACCATTTTAAGACTTTGGCTTTCAATATCAGGGCAATAGGGAACCATGAGAGGTTTTTAAGCAGAGGAGTGACCAGAATGAATTTACACTTTAACAGCTTATGTCTGTTCAGTGAGAATAGAGTGTAAGGGAAGGCAGAGGCTGGGAGACCAGTGAGGAGGCTATTGTAGAAATCCATGGTCGGGCATGGTGGCTCATGCCTATAATCCCAACACTTTGGGAGGCTGAAGCAGGCAGATCACGAGGTCAGGAGTTCAAGACCAGCCTGGCCAAGATGGTGAAACCCCCGTCTCTACTAAAAATACAAAAATTAGCCAGGCATGGTGGCGGGCACGTGTAATCCCAGCTACTCGGGAGGCTGAGGCAGAGAATTGCCTGAACCCGGGAAGCAGAGACTGCAGTGAGCCGAGGTAGTGCCACTGTACTCCAGCCTGGGTGACAGAGTGAGACTCCATCTCAAAAAAAAAGAAAGAAAGAAAGAAAGAAAGAAAAAGAAATCCAGGTGAGAGATGATGGTCTGACCACCAGCCCATTTAATCATCACAGCTATAGGTACGTTACAGTCCAAGTTTGTGTTACGATAAAATACGTAAGCCATTGCTAGAAGGCATTGTCAAACTCCTTCCTGTGGGAAGCTTTGTGAGATTATTCTTGAGCAGCAGTGGGCAAACTATCCTGCCTGCCACCTGTTTCTGTAAACAAGTGTTATTGGAACACAGCCACGCCATTTGTTTACACACGTTTCTGCTTTCTGCAGTGGGAGAATTGAGTAATCATGACAGATACCTCATGGCCCACAAAGCCTGGAATATTTCTCTCTGGCCCTTTACAGAAAAAAAAATTTACCCACCACTGATCTTAAATTGGATGTCAAAGGTTAAGTAGGAGTTTGCCGGCTGGATTAGGAAAGAGAACATTCTAGGTGGAAAGAACTGTGTGAGCAAAAGTCAATACCATGAGATTGTGTGGATTGTTTGGGGACCGGCAAGGGGTTGAGCACTGCTGAAACCTGGTGTGTGAGCAGGAGAACAGTCCCCAGAGGCCATCTAGAAAGAGTCTCCCCCTAATCCCAGCACTTTGGGAGCACAAAACGGCTGGCTCGCTTGAGCCCAGGAGTTCAAAACCAGCCTGGGCAACATAGCGAGACTCTCATCTCTACAAAAATTTTAAAAATTAGCCAGGCATGGTGGTGCATGCCTGTAGTCCCAGCTACTTCAGAAGGCTGGGGCAGGAGGATTGCTTGAGCCCCAGCCTCCCAAGGGAAGGGAGGTTGTAGTAAGCTATGATTGTGCCACTGCACTCCAGCCTGGGCAACTTAGTGAGACCCTGTCTCAAAATAAGAAAAAAAGGGCTGGTGCGGTGGCTCACGCCTGTAATCCCAACACTTTGGGAGGCTAGGCAGGCAGATCACTTGAGGTCAGTAGTTTGTGACCAGCTGGGCAACATGGTGAAACTCCTGTATCTACTAAAGCTACAAAAAATTAGCTGGGCGTGGTGGCGGGTGCCTGTAGTCCCAGCTACTCTACTTGGGACGCTGAGGCACGAGAATCGCCTGAACCCGGGAGGCGGAGGTTACAGTGAGCTGACATCATGCCACTGCACTCCAGCCTGGGCAACAGAGCGAGACTCCGTCTCAAAAAATATATATAAAAGAAAAAAAAAGAAAGAGTTTTGAGTTCCAGGCCAAGGATGCAGACCTTGTCCCACAAGCAGTGGGTGCCCTGGAAGGTTGGGGCCAGGAAGCAATGTGGAAAAATCCTTCTGCTGCCTTGGGAGAGGTGATGGGAGGGTGCGGAGCCCACACGGCAGCTGTGCATGATGATGCTAATTACATGGCTTCTGACTTGCTGAGTGGGACATCAGGGCTTGTGCCCTCCACAGGAGGGAAGTGGGCTCCTCAGGAGGTGACCCTGAGCTGTGAGGCAGCAGCCAAGTGTGTTCCCATCCCAAGGGCAAAAGCCAGGCCTGGTCAGGAAGGGCAGGATTTCCCTACTCTGGGGGGACCTCAGCCCAGCTCAGGGGTTCACAGGACAGACTGCGGGCTGAGGAGAAGCTGGTTCTCAGGAACAGGGAACCAGGGAGCTTCACAAGGAAGCTGGCTTAAACCTGAGTCCTGAAGGATGGTGAAGGATGGAGAAGGGTGGAGAGGGATGGAGAGGAATGGATAGGGATAATGAGGGATGGAGAGGGATGGTGGGGGATGGTGGGGGATGGAGAGGGATGGAGAGGGATGGTGGGGGATGGTGGGGGATGGTGGGGGATGGAGAGGGATGGTGAGGGATGGTGAGGGATGGTGAGGGATGGTGGGGGATGGAGAGGGATGGTGAGGGATGGTGAGGGATGGTGAGGGATGGTGGGGGATGGAGAGGGATGGAGAGGGATGGTGGGGGATGGTTAGGGATGGTGAGGGATGGTGAAGGATGGCGAAGGACATGAGGATTTGGAGAGGCTGAGCAGGGGTATTTCAGGCAAAGATGCAGGGTGTGTGCCAAGCCTCTCACGATGGGGGAATCTAATGTGGAGTTCTTGAGGGTCAGAGTGTGCAAGCTCTTAATCCCTTTGTCCCTTCTCTTGTGCTTCTCGTCCTCATTTATGTTTTGTCAGCCATTAATTATGAAATACCTGCTATGTGCATGACCTTACTCTTTTTCTTTTCTTTTCTTCTTTTTGACTCAAAGTCTCGCTTTGTTGCCAGGCTGGAGTGCAGTGGCGCGATCTCAGCTCATTGCAACCTCTGCCTCCTGGGTTCAAGAGATTCCCCTGCCTCAGCCTCCTGAGCAGCTGGGACTACAGGCGCGTGCCACCACACCCGGCTAATTTTTGTATTTTTAGTAGAGACGGGGTTTCACCATGTTGGCCAGGATGGTCTCAATCTCTTGACCTCATGATCCGCCCACCTCGGCCTTCAAAGTGTTGGGATTACTGGCATGAGCCACCATGCCTGGCCGGCCTTACTCTTAGTATGGTGGGGACACTAAAGACATCTCTATTCTTGTCCTTGGGGCTCACAATTTAATACAAACTTGTCTCAGATATACAGATAATAGTTTATTGTGAAAAAGCACTGGAATATAAAGGCAAATATATTTTTCCATATCATCGCATGTTCTATGGTCTGAATGTGTGTATCACCCCAAAATACTTTTTATTTATTTTTTATTGTTTTGAGATAGAGTCTTGCTCCATCGCCGAGGCCGGAGTACAGTGGCATGATCTCGGCTCTCTGCAACCTCCACTTCCCGGGTTCGAGCGATTCTCCTGCCTCTGCCTCCCCGAGTAGCTGGAATTACAGGCGCCCACCACCAAGCCCAGCTAATTTTTGTATTTTTAGTAGAGATGGGGTTTCATCATGTTGGCCAGGCTGGTCTTGAACTCCTGACCTCAAGCTATCTGCTTACCTCAGCCTCTCAAAGTGCTGGGATTACAGGGGTGAGCCACTGTGCCCAGCCCCTACCTTTTTTTTTTTTTTTTTTGAGACAGAGTCTTGCTTTGTCACCCAGGCTGGAGTGCAGTGGCTCAAACGTGGCTCACTGCACCCTCCATTTCCTGGGCCCAAGCAATCCTCCCACCTCAGCCTCCCAAGTAGCTGGAACCACAGGAGAGCACCACCACACCTGGTTAATTTAAAAAAATTTTTTTTGTAGAGATGGGGCTTGCTATGTTGCCCCAGCTGGTCTTGAACTCCTGGGCTCAAGCAATCCTCCTGCCTTGGCCTCCCAAAGTCCTGGTATTACAGGTGTGAGCCACCACACCCAGCCCTGATAATCCTCTTTTATGTCCCAGGGGCTCCTGAAATTCTACTGCAAATCACACATTCATGAGTAGGCTGAATCACTGTGCCCCCAGGATGCAATGGTAATGAAACGGAATTGCAGGGATCTCCAGAGAATCAATCCGTGTTTGGCTGCCCTGCCATAGCGTTACACAGGGCATGAGGGCAATCAGTGATATAAACACAGTCCCCACTGTCAGGGAGCCAAAGGACATTGTAGGACCGAGGTCCCCAACCTTTTTGGCACCAGGGACTGGTTTTGTGGAAGACAGTTTTTCCACGGAGCCGGGGGATGGTTTGGGAATGATCCAAGTCCATTACATTGATTGTGCATTTTACTTCTATTATTATTACATTGTAATACATAATGAAATAATTATACAACTCATCACAATGTAGAATCAGTGGGAGCCCTGAGCTGGTTTTCCTGCAACTAGATGGTCCCATCTGGGGGTGATGGGAGACAGTGACAGATCATCAGGCAGACAGATCATCATATTCTCATAAGGAATGCAAAACCTAGATCCTTCGCATGCGAAGTCACAATAGGGTTTGAGCTCCTATGAGAATCCAATGCCGCCGCTGATCTGAGAGAAAGTGGAGCTCAGGTGGCAATGTGAGTGAGCAATGGGCAGCGGCTGTAAATATGCTGTAAATATCGATGAAGCTTCACTCGCTCACCCGCCCGCCGCTCACCTCCTGCCGTGCAGCCGAGTTCCTAACAGGCCATCGACCCAGACCAGGGGTTAGGGACCCCTGTTCTTAGAAACTAATGATACTCTCTTCCTTCCTCCCTGTCTCGCCACAGCCTGACCCTCTTGCTTGAGCCTAGGACAAGGCCCAGTGGAACAAGGACAACTCCTCCATTCATCCCATTAACATTCATCATGCTCCCAGCGTAGGCACGGTGGCCTAGGCAGGGCATGGTGGCTCACGCCTGTAATCCCAGTACTTTGGGAAGCTGAGGCAGGCAAATCATTGAGGCCAGGAGTTCGAGGCCAGCCTAGCCAACAGAGTGAAACCCCATCTCTACTAAAATAAAAAATACAAAAAAAAAAATTAACCAGGCGTGGCGATGCACGCCTGTCATCCCAGCTACTTGGGCGGCTGAGGCGTGAGAATCGCGTGAACTCAGGAGGCAGAGGTTGCAGTGAGCCGAGATCACGACACTGCACTCCAGCCTGGGTGACAGTGCAGGACTGTGTCTCAGAAAAAAAGAAAAGAAGAAAGAAAAACATTGATCATGCTTCTGCTATGTGCCATGGCCCGGGCAAAGCTCTGGAGACACAAAAATGAAAGGATGTAATCCTGGTCCTCAAAAAGCATGTGGGTTAAGAGAAGACAGCCATGAAGACACAGAACACCGAGTCAGAGAGGAAAGTGCTATCATGAGGGATACACTGGTAGGTTTCCTACCTTGTACACAGGAACCTGAGTCAGCCTGGGGATGATCTGGGAAGCCTGCTGAACAAAGTGGCATCTGAGCTGGGGACTGAAGCACAAGCCGGGGAGGGAGTTCCAGGAAGAAGGACTGGGAAGATTGAAAGCACGAGGCAGTAGAAGAGAATGATGGGTATGAGGACAGAGTTCACGGTGGCTGCAGCTGAGAGGAGGTGGTGGAAGCAGGCAGAGGCCAGATCGAGGAGGCTTATGGAAAGAGTTTACACTTTGTCCTGACAGCACTGGGGAGCCATGGAAGGGTTGTGAGCAGAGCAGTAGCCTGGCCAAGTTTAGGTTTTAGAAAGCTCTCTCTATCCTCTGCATGGAGGCTAGAGGCAGGGGGACCAGGCAGAAGGCTGCTGCAATTGTCCTGGAGCCAGGTGCTGTGGCTTGAACAGAGGCCATGGCTGAGGGAAGAGAGAGGCTGGAGAGAAGTTAAGGAGATGAGATCACTGAAGCCTGGTGACTTGTTTGCTGTGGGAGGGAGGGAGAGGGTGAGGTGAGCATGATGGCCTGGTTTCTCTCCAGGGTGACTGGGGAGGAGGTGGCATCATCAACCTGTTGGAGAAATTAGGTGGGGAGGGTGGCGCTAAGCTCCACTGAGACAACGTGGAGTTAGACGTGCCAGGGAAGGGCAGGGGAAAATACATGTCATCCATGCAGTTGCTTAAGCAGATCTGGTCCATGAGAGACAGCTGGGAGCCCAAAATAGAGATCTGGGAGTCCTCAACATCAGGTGGCACCTGAAATCTTGAGGTAGGGATAAGGTTCCCCAGCAATAAGAAAAGAGGGCAAAGGCTAAAGCTCTGAGCCTCGCTAAGAATTAAGAGGCCAAGATGGAGGGCCAGGGATGAAAGCTGAAAAGATAGGAGGGAAATCTGAGCTTTAGAAGGCAAGGGGAGGTAGGCATGTGGCTGCATGCCTGTAACCCCAGCTATTCGGGAGGCTGAGACGGGAGGATGGCTGGAGCCCAGGAGTTCAAGGTTACAGTGAGCTATGATGGCACTACTGCACTCCAGCCTGGGCAAGGGAGGGAGACCCTGTCTCAAAACAAAGACAAAAACACCAAGGAGAAAACAGTGTTTCCAAAAAGAGGGGAAGAATAGGCCGGGCACAGTAGCTCATGCCTGTAATCCCAGCACTTTGGGAGGCCGAGGTGGGTGGATCACCTGAGGTCAGGAGTTCGAGACCAGCCTGGCCAACATGGTGAAACCCTGTCTCTACTAGAAATACAAAAATGCCGGGTGCAGTGGCTCACGCCTGTAATCCCAACACTTTGGGAGGCTGAGGCGGGTGGATCGTGAGGTCAGGAGATCGAGACCATCCTGGCTAACACGGTGAAACCCCGTCTCTACTAAAAATACAAAAAATTAGCCGGGCGTGGTGGCGGGGGCCTGTAGTCCCAGCTACTTGGGAGGCTGAGGCAAGAGAATGGCGTGAACCCAGGAAGCAGAACTTGCTGAGATCACGCCACTGCACTCCAGCCTGGGTGACAGAGCGAGACTCTGTCTCAAAAAAAAAAAAAAAAATTAGCTGGTCGTGGTGGCAGGCACCTATAATTCCAGCTACTCAGGAGGCTGAGGCAGGAGAATCGCTTGAACCCAGGACGCAGAGATTGCAGTGAGCCGAGATGGTGACACTGCACTCCACCCTTGATGACAAAGCAAGACTCCATTTCAAAAAAAAAGAGGAAAAAAATTAAAAGGAAGGGAGATTGCAACACCATTGCATGCTGTCAAAGGTCAAGACAGATTAGGGCTAAAATTGGACCTGGATTTAGTAACAAAGAGGCCACTGGGACCCCGGCCAGAGTCCCTTCAGAGGTTTCTTGAGGGCAGCCCTCAGCCCGTGAGGGATTGGGAATGAGAGGCAGTGAGAACCCAGAGGCAATGAGTGGGGATGACTTGAGGTTTGCCCACAAAGGGAAGAAAAAACAAGGGTGGGTGTTAGGGTGAGGGTGGAGTGAAAGGTGGGGTTCAGGGGTGGCTGCTAGAGATGACAGCCACTTGGAGACATTTCAGTCCCATCTCCAGTGTGGTGGCAGGTGCCTGTAGCCCCAACTACTTAGAAGGCTGAGGCAGGAGAATCACTTGAACCCAGGAGGCAGAGGTTACAGTGAGCTGAGATCTTGCCACTGCACTCCAGCCTGGGCAACGGGGCGAGACTGTCTCAGTAAAAAAAAAAAAAAAAAATCCAGACGACCCCAGTACCTACTGTTATTATTGTTTATGAATCTCGTTGATGTGCCTAAGAGCTGTCATCTCCCAAAATTCTATGAAGTATCTGTATCACCCCCACTTTATAGATGAGGAAACCGAGGCTAGGAGGGCTGAAGCCATTTGCTTCAGAGGGAGGGGATGGGGACTGGGGTGTGGGCATGGGGATTCTGGAAGGAGGAGAGGTAGGTTTAGGGCAAGACAAAGGACAGCCTCTGAAGGGACTGGGAGGGAGAGGGAAGGGCAGGTGCAGAGGGTCGAGGCAGTGCCTATCACATGGCCTCTGCTTCCTCTGGAAGTGGCAGGAGAGCAGGTTCGATGGAGATGAGGATGAAGGCCTGCGGATGAAGGAGAAAGGCGAGTACTCCAGGGATTCCTGGCAGCTCTGAGGATCTGGCTGTGACTGGAGAAGATGACCTTGTCGTGACCGCAGCTGTTGTTGCAGTGGTGGTTGTGGTCGCGATGGTGGCTTCTCTCCAGAAGCCAGAGCAGCTGGCATGCAGGAGTGAAGTGCACGGAGCAGCAGTGCCCCAGCGATGGTTTTACAGGCTTGGCACAAAAGGACTCAGACCAGGGCTGGCACATCTCCAGGTATATTGAAGCTGCTGGGGGTGGGGAGGGGGGGGAGGTTTTAGAGGGAAAATGATGGAGGGCTGGGGAAAAATGGAGCATGTGCAGTACTGTTTCAGGTTCCTAAAATATCAGTTTGCAAACATAAAAATGTATTCTCTAAAATAGGCAAAGCACACGAACAAAAGAAGAAAAAACCCAACTGGTTAACAAGCAAATGGGAATGTGTTCAAGCTCATTCCTATTCAGAGAAATGCAAATTTAAATACAATAACGTCATTTGCCTAGGAAATTAGCAGAGCTTAGACAATGAAAACTCCCAGTGTTGGTGAAGTGGAGACGAAAGGTTCATATTCACATGTGGGTGGGAAGGGCCCTTAGCAAATGGCTTCAGCCCTCCTAGCCTCGGTTTCCTCATCTATAAAGTGGGGATGATACAGATACTTCATAGAATTTTGTGAGATGACAGCTCTTAGGCACATAAATGTGATTCATAAGCAATAATACGCCTGTAGTCCCAGCTACTTGGGAGGCTGAGGCAGGAGAATGGCGGGAACCCGGGAGGTGGAGCTTGCAGTGAGCCGAGATCGGGCCACTGCCCTCCAGCCTGGGTGACAGAGCAAGACTCCGTCTCAAAACAAAAACAGTAACAGTAGGTACTGGGGTTGCTTGGATTTATTTTTATTTTTATTTTTTGAGACAGTCTTGCTCTGTCGCCCAGGCTGGAGTGCAGTGGTGAGATCTCAGCTCACTGCAACCTCCGCCTCCTGGGTTCAAGCGATTCTCCTGCCTTAACCTCCGGAGTAGCTGGGGCTACAGGCGCATGCCACCACACTGGGCTAATTGTTGTATTTTTTAGTAGAGACGAGAGTTTCACCATGTTGGCCAGGCTGGTCTCGAACTCCTGGCCTCAAGTGATCCACCTTGGCCTCCCAACATGCTGGGATTACAGGCATGAGCCACTGCGCCCGGCCCAATTGTTTGGGTTTGCTCAAACCTTTTTTCTCTCTGCTGAACAATCACATCTCCAGCCCAGACTCAGGACCCTTGTATTTGCAGAAAGTGGCCCTGGTCAAGAGTCACCCTCTGCCAGGCCCTGCCCGGTTTGCCTTAGGATTGACAAAGTAGAGGGAAGGGAAGAGGAGGAAGAAGGGGAGGAGGGCACAAGGTTCCTCCAGGATCCCACCCGGGGGTGCCCACGCGGAGAAATGGCGTGTGCTCTAATTATCGTCAGACTCTGAAGTGGCCCACGTGAAATATCGAATCTCTCCAGAACAAAACCCAGCAAATCATTCCGGCGGGGGCAGCAGGAGAGAGCGCAGCCCTCGAGTCGGACCAGCCTGAGTTTAAGTCCTTCTCTGCCAGGGACTAGCTGTGCAATACTGGGCAAGATTCCTCACCTGCCACGGTCTCGATTTCCTCATCTGCAACATGGCCATGATAATAGCTAAGTGCTAAGACATGGAGAGGATTGAGTGTGACCTGATACACGGGAGCACCACACCTGGCATCCAGGGTGTGGTCCCTTGGCCTCTGGGCGAACTGATCACTCTGTCCATTTCCTCTGCTTTTGACACCAGGGACCATTTCGTAGAAGACAACTTTTCCACAGATGAGGGTGGGGTGGGGGTGGAGAGTGGGGAGTGTGGGTGGGGGATGGTTTCGGGATGAAACTGTTCCAGTGGCCAGGCGCGGTGGCTCACGCCTGTAATCCCAGCACTTTGGGAGGCTGAGCGGGGCAGATCACCTGAGGTCAGGAGTTTGAGACCAGCCTGGCCAACATGGTGAAACCCCGTCTCTACTAAAAATACAAAAATTAGATGGGCGTGGTGGCGCGTGCCTGTAGTCCCAGCTACTTGGGGGAGGCTGAGGTGGGAGAATCAGTTGAACCCAAAAGGCGGAGGTTGCAGTGAGCCAAGATGGCTACACTGCACTCCAGCCTGGGGGATAGAGCGAGACTCTCTCCAAAAAAAAAAAAAAAAAAAGAAACTGTTCCACCTCAGGTCATCAGGCATATCTGGCCGTAGTTAGATTCTCACAAGGAGCACACAACCTGGATCCCTCAAAAGCGCAGTTCACAATAGGGTTCACGCTCCTAATGAGACTCCAATGCCAGTGCTGATCCTACAGGAGGCGGAGCTCAGGCGGTGACGCTCACTCAGCCCGCTGGTTCCTAACAGGCCACGGACAAACAGTACTGGTCCTCAGCCTGCGATTTGGGGACCCCTGCTGTAGAGGACTCCTCTCTCTAACCTGATATTATTGATCTTTTATTATATACTAAGCGCTGTGCCAGAGGCTTATAAGTGCAAACACATTATGTTGTTTCACAGCCTGCAAAGGAGGCACTATTAGCCCGGTTTATAGAGGGTGGAGATGACGTCAGCTGATGAGGCGTGGGGCCAGGATCTGAACCCGACAGGCTGACTTGAGAGTCCCTACTTTCAAAAAACAATTTTTTTTTTGAGACAGTCTCGCTCTGTCGCCCAGGCTGGAGTGCAATGGCGTGATCTCGGCTCACTGCAACCTCTGCCTCCCAGGTTCAAGCAATTCTCCTGCCTCAGCCTCCTGAGTAGCTAGGATTATAGGCATGTGCCACAACTCCCGACTAATTTTTTTTTTTTTAATTAAGTAGAGACAGGGTTTTGCATGTTGGCCAGGCTGGTCTCAAACTCCTGACCTCAAGTGATCTGCCTGCCTTGGCGTCCCAACGTGCTGGGATTACACTGCGCCTGGCCAAATTTTCTTTTCTTATAAGGACACTGGTCAGATTGGATTAGGGCCTACCGTATATATTTTAATTTACTTATGCCTTTTAAAACTTTATCTCCAAATACAGTCACATTCTGAGATTTTTAGGCATTAGGACTTCAACATACACATTTTAACATTATGAAATTCCACCCATAACACTATCTATCTATATGTATTATTTTCAGAACCATGTCAGAGTAAATTGCAAACATGATGCCTTTTACCTCTAAATACTCTAGTGGGCCAGGCACGGTGGCTCACACCTGTAATCCCAGCTCTTCAGGAGGCCGAGGCAGACAGATGACCTGAGGTCAGGAGTTCAAGACTAGCCTGGCCAACATGGTGAAACCCCCGTCTCTACAAAAATACAAAATTTAGCCGGGCATGATGGTGGGTGCCTGTAATCCCAGCTACTCAGGAGGCTGAGGCAGGAGAATCACTTGAACCCAGGAGGCAGAGGTTGCAGTGAGCCAAGGTCGCACCATTGCACTCCAGCCTGGGTGACAGAGCAAGACTCCATCTCAAAAAAATAAATAAATAAATAAATAAATAAATACTCCAGTGTATATTTCCTAAAATCAAGGACACATTCTCTTCTATGACCACAGGACAAGCATTGAAGCCAGGAAGTTGGGCATCCATGCAGTAATTACCTCATCTACAAACTCCGTGGCAATTTGCCCCTTACTGGTGATATTAACTTTGATCACTTAGCGAAGGTTGTGTCTGCCAAATTTCTCCACTGCAGAGTTATTATTTTTCCTTCCATAATTAATTATCATCTTGTGGGTAAATAACTTGAAACTATGTAAATACTTTCTCATCAAGCTTTCATATCCATTGGTGATTCTTGCTGCAACCCATGATTACTATGGTGGCTGCCTGATGGTCATTTCTTTTTTTTTTTTCTTCCTCTTCTTTTTTTAATAGAGACAAGATTTCGCCATATTGCCCAGGCTGGTCTCAAACTCCGGGCTCAAGTGATCCTCCTGCCTCGGTCTCCCAAAGTGCTGAGAATACAGGTGCGAGCCACCATGCCCAGCCTGAGCTCCCACTTTTAAATAGGACATTGCACCATGGCCCTTGATCTTGACCAGAAAGGGAGCTATGTCTATGGGAAGCAGTCCCTGCAGGGTGGATAATGAGGCACTGACCCCCTTGTTCTGGCAGGCTGGGGATGGGAGTAAAGGATCTAGGCAGCATGGTGTCCAGGAGTGTTGTTCAGGTCCACTGAGAATTCACTCACTAGCTGAGCACCTACAGTGTTCCAGGTGTGGCCCCAGCTCTTGAGAAGCTCATAAAAAAGGGAGTAGATTGGGAGGCTGAGGCAGAAGGAAGGCTTGAGGCCAAGGGTTCAAGATCAACCTATGCAATATGGTGAGACCTCCATCTCTGCAAAAAATAGAAAAATTATCCAGGCACAGTGATGCACACTTGTAGTCCCAACTACTCGGGAGGCTGAGGTGAGAGGATCGCTTGAGCCCAGAAGTTCAAGGCTGCAGTGAGCTATGATCATGCCACTGCACTCCAGCCTGGGCAACAGGGCAAGACCCTGTTTTGTTTTGTTTTGGTTTTGGTTTTAAAGGGGGTGGGGGGTAGAGAAAATAGACAACTCACCATTGTGCAGTTTCTAAAACTGAGAACTTTCCTACCCCAAAGGTTAACCTAGGTGGCTCTTTCTGCTATGCACATGGAGAGGACTGAGCAATTGGTTTTTAGAGATCCTTTTGAGTGCTAGACAAAGCTGCCTCAACATTTGGTCACTTGGGAAACTAGTGGGCCAATTTGCATACCAAACCCACAGCCTGTGGGAGGGAACGGAAAGAAGCCATAGTGTCTGGTGGACCAAGGCACAGAGGCAGGAAAGCAAGACAAGGGCGCTGAAATCGAATTTGCTACATCAAGGAAAGTGGGGGGCTGGGCGCGGTGGCTCACGCGTGTAATCCCAGCACTTTGGGAGGCCGAGGCGGGTGGATCACGAGGTCAGGAGATCGACACCACGGTGAAACCCCGTCTCTACTAAAAATACAAAAAAAAAAAATTAGGAGGGCGCGGTGGCGGGCGCCTGTAGTCCCAGCTACTCGGGAGGCTGAGGCTGGAGAATGGCGTGAACCCGGGAGGTGGAGCTTGCAGTGAGCTGAGATCGCGCCACTGCACTCCAGCCTGGGGCAACACAGCGAGACTCCGGCTCAAAAAAAAAAAAAAAAAAAGGAAAGTGGGGATCCTTACTGGTGATCAGGGTGCCACATAGAGGCCTACCCATTTGGAGAGGCCCTATGCCCTCCACAGTGGAGTAAGTGCCATGATGTCGGCTTCACAGGAGGGACTGTGGGAGCGATGGAATTTCAGGCAGTGGGAACATCATGAGCAAAGGAAAGCAGGGGATGAACAGCAACATCCACCCCGCACGTGGCCTCCAAAGCCATCTCTTTTGGGTGGGGCTTCCCACCACGGCGCACACCCCTCATGTTTATGTGGCCCTCCTCCCCTGGTTGCGATGTACCCCCAAACATCTGGGCCAGGAATCATTCAGACCTGGATACCAATTCCAGTGCTTGTACTTCCTAGCTGAGTGAATTTAGAAAGTCACCTTCACCTCTCTGAGCCTCCAGTCATGTATTCCTTCAACATGTATTTACTGTGGGCCTACTATGTGCCAAGCACTACTCCAGGCACTGGGCAGGCAGTGGTGAACAAGATAAGCCTGGCCAGGCGCAGTGGCTCATGTCTGCAATCCCAACACTTTGGGAGGCCGAGGTGGGTGGCCTGAGGTCAGGGGTTCAAAACCAGCCTGGCTGGGCATGGTGACTCACCTGTAGTCCAGCTACTGGGGGGCTGAATTCCTTGAACCTGGGAGGCGGAGGTTGCAGTGAGCCAAGATTATGCCACTGCACTCCAGCCTGGGCAACAGAGTGAGACTCTGTCTCAAAAAAAAAAAAAGAAAAAGAAAAAGAAGCAAGGCCTGCCTTCATAAAACATACATTCTGGTTGGGGAAGACAGACAATAACCAGCACTCACATACATAAATGATGAAACACCCTACAGAAGTATTAAGATAATATAAGAACAAATTTCAAGGCTGGGTGCGGTGGCTTGCGCCTGTAATCCCATTACTTTGGGAGGCCAGCGTGGGTGGATTGCCTGAGTCCAGGAGTTTGAGACCAGTTTGGGCAACATGGCAAAACCCTGTCTCTACAAAAAAAAAAAAAAAAAAAAAAAAAAAAAAATACAAAAAATGAACCTAGCATGGTGGTGTGTGCTTATGGTCCCAGCTACTTGGGAGGCTAAGGTGGGAGAATGGCTGGAGTCCAGGAGAAGGAGGTTGCAGTGAGCCGAGATTGTGCCACTGCACTCCAGCCTGGGTGACAGAGTGAGACCCTGTCTCGAAAAAAAAAAAAAAATTCAGAGGTGAAGACTGCTTTAACCAGGGTGGTCAGGAAATGTCTCTCTGAGGCAGTGACATCCGGGCTGACGTGAAAGATGAGAAAGAGTCAGGCAAGTGAACAGAAGACCAGACAGCCAGTGCCAAGGGCCTGTCGCAGGAATGAGCTTGGTATGTTTGGGGGACAGAAAGAAGGGCACTGTGGCCGAAGAGCAGTGGATGAGGAGAGAGTGGCCAAAGAAGGTGTGTAAACAACCTGAGCTTTGTTTTGAGAAGAACATTGGCTGGTATAGAAAGAAAGACTTTGGAGGCAAAGTAGGGAGCCTCGGAGGCTGCTGCCATTGTCCGGGTAAGCTGATGGTGCCGAGACCAGGTGCCATGACTGGAGGTGGTGAGAAATGGTCCTATGCAGGAGACCTGGAGACACCGCTAGCTTGAGTCCTGAGGTGGGGAGGAAGGGAGAGGGAGGGATGGAGCCAGGCTCCAAGGTTTTGGCTTGAGCAGCTGAGATGGGGTGGCAAGGGAGCAGAGGTAGGGCTGACGATCAGGAGCGGGTTTTTGGGCCGAGTCCTCTGCAGTGCCCATCTGACACCCACTGGATGCGCAGAGTGGGCAGCTGGCTATGAGTCTGGAACTCAGAGAAGCTGTTCGCTCCGGAAATACAAACCTGGGGCTCATAGCCATATAAATGTCATTTAAAGCCACGGGACTGGATGAGATCATTAAGGCAGAAGGTCTAGGTCGAAAGAAGAGGGCCAGGACCACTACCTGTAAAATGAGCCAATGACACCTACACCCACGGGGCTCTCGCGAGGTGTCACGTGAACGCACCCAGCGAGCCCTGGAACCAGGCAGAGAATCGCGGCAGCCCCGGGGGCGGGGCTTCCAGGGGGCGGGGTCATACGGGGGCGGGGCCGAGGGACCAAGCGGCCGCTCCTGGCCGGAGGGCGGCCGGGTCGGTGACGTCACCGCATGACTGGGTTTTTATGAATGAAAGGAATCCTGTGAGTGAGTAATTCCGGGAAGCTCGCCTTACAACTCCGCGCGGCCTCGGCCCCCTGCGCCGCCCGCCCCACAACAAAACTCAGCGCAGCGCTCCCGGGCGCCCGGTTCAGAGCGACCTGCGGCTCAGAGCGGAGGGGAGACTGACCGGAGCGCGGATCGGGACAGCGGCCGGGACAGCGGCGAGACGCGCGTGTGTGAGCGCGCCGGACCAAGCGGGCCCAGAAGCGGGTGAGGAACGCGGGACCAGGAGGACGGTGCGCGGGACCCCAAGGCGGCAGGGTTTCTGCGTCCCGGGATGCGCCTGGGGTGGGCGCCCGGGCCCGATCCGTCGGGGCTCCCGGAGCTCCATCGCCCGGACGGCTCGGGGCGGGGAGAAGGGAGCGGCCGTCCCGGGGACGCCGAGGACGGGGCCGAGGCCAGCTCGGGGGAGTGGGGGTGGAGACGGGGCCCCTTCCCGGGGCGCGGGCGGGTAGGCGGCGGCGCCGGGAGGAAGGGGCAGCGCAGGCCGGCGATCTCCGCGTCCGCCCGGCGGGGGCGGGGGCGCTGTGCTCCTACGTGACTCGGTGGGAACAGGCCCTGGCCCGGCGCCCGCGGGCGGTGCGTGCGCGGTTTGTTTACGTCCGAGGGCGGGCGTGTGTTCCCTGGCGGGCGGCCTGGGTATCCTGCCCGGTGCGTGCGTGCGCTGTGTACCTCGGGGGCGTGTGTGCGTGTGTTGTGCTTGTGTGTG
Source organism: Homo sapiens (assembly GCF_000001405.40). Lineage (NCBI taxonomy): Eukaryota > Metazoa > Chordata > Mammalia > Primates > Hominidae > Homo > Homo sapiens. The sequence continues at coordinate 38,202,712 of NC_000022.11, forward strand.
CGTGTCCGCGCGCGCGCTCCCTGGGGCCTGTACACCAGCAGTGTGTACCTCGGAGAGGGCGTGCCCTGGGCCGGCCACCGGAGTAAACGCGGAACAAGGACCCGAGCGAAGGAAGCGGACCCGTGCGTCTTCGCACGGGGTCTGGGAATTCTGGCCCGGGCCGCCCCAGTCCTACTACCCGGGGCTGTCCGTCCCCGGCTCTCCCCGGAGTTTCCCAGGGCCTCCGCCACGTGACCCCAGTGTTTGTCTCCCGCCCAGAGCCCGCGCCCGCAGCCACAGGGTGGGGCAAGGTATCAAAGACCCCACCCAGCTGAGCTAGGAGTGAGGGATGTGAGCCACCCCCGCTTGGCACCCCGGTGGATCTGGTAACAAAGTGAGTTGGAGCCCAGGTTCTTGTCCCCAGATTTTGGGGCTTCCTGGGGAGGGAAGAACCAAGGGACTCTCGTTCGTCCCCAGGGTTGCCCATCCCCTCAGTCCCATGAGAACAGGAAGGGCCAGAAAACCTTGACTGCAAGGGTGCGGCGCAGGGAGAGGACCACAGGCTTTTAGCTAGTCCGGGTTCTGGAGGCTGTACCTGCTAGGTCGTGGAGGATGGGGCGGAGCCGGTTTCCGCTCTCCTGGTAGTTTCAGTTCACAAGTGGGACTGGTGAGACTAGACTGACCTACAGCTGGACGCCGGAAGCTAGCTGAGGCTCTGAGCCAGCCGACAGACCCCGAGTGCCCTCACCCTGGGCCAGGCAGGGTCAGTAGGCATTGGGGATAGAACTCTGACTGCACGGAGGGTTAATGAGTGAGGGGTGGGGCCTGACCTAGCCGCCACCCACCCACTCACCCAATAGCCCTGCAGAAAGCACCTGTTTGTCGTAGCCGCCTGCAGGATGGGCTGGGGGCTAGAGATTCCTTGGTCTTAATCCACCTTCCCCCTCCACCCACCCACCCACGGTCTATGGAATTGTGGGAGGGGAGCAATTGAACTTGCTAGGGTGAGGAACCAATGATCTTTTGACTTTGGATCTTTGAACCCTGGGTGAGCTCTGCTACAGCAGCCCGGACCCTCAGTATTCCCATCTACCACTGGGAACTAGGTAACAGCCAGGATGGCAGGATGGTGGGTAGAAGGGGGAAGCTCTGGAAGTCTGTGCAGACAGCGTATTTTCCAGGTGAATTGTGGAAGAGAAAGCAGGGCTGACAGCCCCATGCCAGGAGCTGGGGGTACCCAAGAGTAGGTGGGGTTTGAGTCAGGAGGGTTGGGGCCAGGAGCACAGGAACCAGACAGGCCCACCCTCAAAGCTGGGCAGGAAACATTACAAAGTAGGGCCTGGGGTCAGGGGATGAGGGGAAGTGGCTGGTTGACTCAGTCCCAGATGGAAAGTTAGCACTGAGAAGTTTAACTTCCCATTGAATCACCCCTGGGCCCTGCATTGCCATTGGGCCCTTGTCCTGGACCAGATGCCAGGGATGAGATGAACAGACCAGATCCAGAGACTGCCCTCTGGGAGCTTATAGCTCAGCAGCGGACACAAACTTGAAAAAAGATCCACAGAAGTAAATGCAAAACACAGCTTAGATGGGTGATGTGAGGGAGAAGTCACTGTGGTTTGAAAGTACATAACAGCGCTCTGACTTAGCCAGGGCAATCAAGGAAGGCTTCCCTGGGGAGGTGACTAGTGTGCTGAGTCTGATAGAGTGGTGGTTGTCTGTGAAGCCCTTGAAGGCAGGAGCTGTGATTCACTTCAGGGTCTCCAGGGCCCAGCACAGAGCCTGGAACATAGTAGGTGCTTCTTGGATGTTTGCTGATTGAATGAATGAGCCCTGGATCCCTGCCCTCTAAGAGCTCCACAACACATGGAGAAAAAGGCCTGGGAACCCCAGAGAAACAGGAAGCCAGGGCAGGGGCTGGGGGAATCTTGAAGCAGTCTCCCAAAAGCGAGCAAATCCTTCAGGACTCAGGCAACTTCCTCCCTCACACACACAGGCATGCACTGCCCGCTTGTCCCTTTGGGAAACATTCAGGGATAGTAGAATTTGCTGTCTGTTCATTCATCTGTTAGCATACGATCCTGGGAGAGAGTGGACAGGAATACGGTTGAGGCCTGAGGACCCTACTGTGTTGGCTTGCGGGGAGGCTGGCATTGCAGGGTTTTGAAATGGGCCAAGCACGGACAGGCTCGTGGGTTTGTGTCAGTAGTGATTCCTCTGACAGCTCTTGGGGGAGGATCAATGATGGGGATTGGAGACGGAGGGCAAGGCAAGAGGCTGGTGAGCAGGCGGTTGTGGTCATGGTCCAGATGAAGGAGGAAGTGGTCTGTGGCTGTGCAGGTGGAGAAGAGGGCTAGTCTGATAGTCTGATAGTTTGTGTCTCATGCCCCCACCTCCAGGAAGCCTTCACCGCTTTCCTTTCCCTACCTCCATTCTGCTGGTGGTCTTGGAGCTCTGGGCCAGAATCTGAAACTCTAAACTCAGAGACAGTCATTGTTGGAAGGTACCTTAGGCTCGGAGGACGTTTGGCATAGTGGGAAAACTGAGGCCCAGAGAGAGGGAGTGCCGTACCTGAGGCCACACAGCGAGTGTGAGAGGGTACCTGAACTGGGGCTGGAACCCCAGGCCGTTGCTTCTCTGTGGTGCTTGGTTCTTCCAGCCTTGCTCCCCTTCCAGCAGGGAGGAGGCTCCAGCAGTGCTGACTGCCAAGAGCTAGGAAAACACATTTTTTCCCTGTCCTCACAGAGCGAGCAGAATGGCTCAGCAGCCAGAAAGGAGCCCATGCCAGCGGGTGGGCCTTCTACAGGATGTCTCTGGAGTGGACTGGTGGGGCCAGGGAGGGGGACGTTGGAGGGTTGTGGCTGCTGACTGGACAAGGCAGTTGTCAGTCCCTCAAGAGTCACCTCTCTCCTTATGCCTCCAGAAGACGTCATGAACCTGCAGACCCTGGAGGTCAGCTCTGCTGGCTTCCAAGGGAAGAAGCCAGGGAGAGGTGGTGGTGGCCGACATAGAAGACAGAGGACCCCTGGGTTCCAGTCCGCCACGGCTACCAAACAGTGGCTTGGTTGCCTCAGGTGCTGAACAGGGGATCGGATCAGCTACTATTTCTCAGGCCCAGGGTCAGCCAGCCTGGCAAAGGCAGAGGACCCAGGCCCCTTGGCAGCCCCTGGCCTGGGGTTGGCAGCGGAAAGCCTGAGGTTACCAGAAAGTTCCCCCTTCTTGTGACTTTCCCCCTGTGATTGCCTGACTGCTGAGCTAGGACATTCCTGGGCAAACGTGGGTGCCTCAGCTGACATCCAGGATGCGGTTGAGGGGGCTGAGGCTCGGACAGGAGGGCATGGAGGAGTGGGGGAAGAGCAGGTTCAAAACCTTCCTAGCACCTGAGGGTATTTACAATCACAGCCAGCTTCCGCTATTATCAAGGATAGGGAATGGCTGATGGTTCCATCTCTCAGGCCTGGTCTGGAGGCAGTGTTGAGGATTCTAGGCTGTGTCCAAGCTCAGGAGAAAACAGTTCTGTGCTGAGAAAGACTCAGGGGCTGTGGCCTGCCTCACTGGGAATTGGTGCTGTGTGTGGTTAGTGATGTCTCTGTTGCTTGTGGATAGTGGGATGATGGTGAGATGAGGTGATCTTTCTTGCCTATGCCTCCTTTTTTTTTTTTTTTTTTTTTGATGGAGTCTCGCTCTGTTGCCCAGGCTGGAGTCCAGTGGCTTGTTCTCAGCTCACTGAAACCTCCACCTCCCGGGTTCATGCAATTCTTCTGCCTCAGCCTCCCAAGTAGCTGGGACTATAGGTGTGCGCCACCACACCTGGCTAATTTTTGCATTTTTTTTTTTCTTTAGTAGAGACAGGATTTCACCATGTTGGCCAGGCCGTTCTTGAACTCCTGGCCTCAGATGATCTGCCCACCTTGGCCTCCCAAAGTGCTGGGATTACAGGCGTGAGCCACCACGCCTGGCCTTGCCTAAGCCTTTATATTTTACACACCAAGATTATTGTGATTATTCCCACTTAGCAAGGAATCCAGGACTCAGGAAAAATGACTTGTGCATGAGGCCAGACTGTGCCTCTGAGGTTCTGTATCAGCCGCAACACCCAAAGGGCAGTTGATTAACTTGCGTGGGGAGAGGCTTCCCTTCTCCCATTGGGTCTTTCTGTGTAGCTCAGGTGGCCAAGCATCACTGCACGTGCCAGCTCCCCAAACGGCTGGTAAGGGGGCCTGGATACTTAACTGTAACTTGCAAATCGTATCCCTAGCGGGCCCAACACAAATCCTGGAGAATCAGAGCTGGGGTGGCCTTGGAAACTGGCAAGTCCAGCTTCATCTTCACAGGGCTAGGGAAACAGGGCCCAGGGAGGTCGCCCTGCCAGGGCCACACAGGGAGGAGGTGTGTGGCTCCATGTGGCCTCAGGCCTGAATTCTATTATTATTATTATTATTATTTTTGAGATGGAGTCTTGCTCTGTCACCCAGGCTGGAGTGCAGTCGCGTAATCTCGGCTCACTGCAACCTCTGCCTCCCAGGTTCTAAGCGATTCTCCTGCCTCAGCCTCCTGAGTAGTTGGGACTACAGGTGTGTGCCACCAGGCCCAGCTAATTTTTTGTATTTTTAGTACAGACAGGGTTTCACTGTGTTAGCCATGATGGTCTCAGTCTCCTGACCTCATGATCCGCCCACCTCGGCCTCCCAAAGTGCTGGGATTACAGGCATGAGCCACCTTGCTTGGCCATCTTTTTTTTTTTTTTTTTTTTTTTTTTTTTTTTTTTGAGACAGAGTCTCGCTCTGTCACCCAGGCTGGAGTGCAGTGGCGCGATCTCAGCTCACTGCAAGCTCCATCTCCGGGTTCACGCCATTCTCCTGCCTCAGCCTCCCCAGTAGCTGGGACTACAGGCGCCCACCACCACACCCGGCTAATTTTTTTTTTAAGAGGCGGGGTCTTGCTTTGTCACCCAGGGAGTGCAGTGGCGGGATCACAGCTCACTGCCGCCTTGAATTCCTGGGCTCAATGGTTCCTCCTGCCTCAGCCTCCTGAGTAGCTGGGGCTATAGGTGTGCACCACTGCACCCGGCTAATCTTTTTATTTTTTGGAGATGGAGTCTAGCCATCTTGCCCAGGTTGGTCTTGAACTCTCAGGCCTGAATTCTACCCCATGCTGGCTGTATGAGCCTGGACTACTCTATTGTCCTCTCTGGGCATTACCTCAGGGTTGGGCGAACCAGGGAGGTGACGGTGTGAAGGGACCAGGTTTCAGTCCTGGGCCTTTGCAGCTATTCATTCACACCTATTGTGTGACTTCAGGCAAGTGCTGCCCCTCTCTGGGTCTCTACCTCCCCTTGGGTAAAGGGAGGAGGCAGGACCTGATGGCCTCTAAGGGCCTTTCCTGCAGTTCCCTGTGTGACCCCAGCCAGCTGGGAGATGCTAAATCAGAGCGAGACCCCAGTGCTGGCTACAGGCCTGACCCCTCCTGGACAGACAGCAATTCTAACCTCCCAGCTGCTCACTGACCTCTACAGTGTATACCACTTGATTCCACCAAAACCCTGCGAGGCAGGTATTGTTCCGATCCTTTAGATGGGAAAGTGGAGACCCAGAGAGATGGAGTGGCTCACCCCAGGTCACACAGCCTGAGAAAACAGAGATGCGACTTAAACCCAAGCTTGACTCCCAATCCAGTGCTCCTTTCCCTGTTTCCCACACCCCACCTTTGGGCCCAAAGTCACGTGGATGGGATCCCCTCTGCTCTCTTCCCATTCGCCTAGCATCTGTACTGTCTCTGCCAACAGGCCCAAGGAAGCAGCTGGAGAGGAGGAAGAATTAGAGACAGGGCCAGGAGGTACTGAACTACGTTTCGGCTTGGAACCCGGCTTGGTGACAAGCTGGGTGATGGCGTCAGAGACTCTGACCATCCACCCTTCCCCAGTGCCTGCTCCCTGCCAGGTCTTGAGATGGGTGGCCTCAAGCACCCAGAGCTGACTCAGCCTCTCCCTGTCTGGTGGAGAGACAGCAAGGAAATACAACCCATTACACACAGGGGTGGGGGTCCCTAACAAGTCCTAGGGATCAGGGAGGGCTTCCTGGAGGAGGAGATGTCTGCACCCAGGGCCGAAGGATGAGTAGGAGTCTGCCAAACAAAGTAGAGGGGAGTGAGGGGAGAGAAATATCATGGGGTGGGAGGTGGCTCAGAGGCAAGAAAGCGCGGGTGGGAGGAAGTGAAAGAAATTCTGTGTGGCTGGAGCACAGAGTGGAGGTGGCAGTGGTGGGAAATGGGCGTGGGGCTGGACACACAGGGCCTGGGGTGCTGGGAGGGTGGGTCTGGACTCCATCCTTAGGATAGTAGGGAACCATGGAAGGTTTTTTTTTTGTTTGCTTGTTTGTTTTTGTGTTTGTTTTTGAGATGGAGTATCACTCTGTCGCCCAGGCTGGAGTGCAGTGTCGCGATCTCGGCTCACTGCATGCTTCACCTCCCGGGTTCACGCCATTCTCCTGCCTCAGCCTCCTGATAGCTGGGACTACAGGTGCCTGCCACCACACCCGGCTAATTTTTTGTATTTTTTAGTAGAGACGGGGTTTCACCATGTTAGCCAGGATGGTCTCAATCTCCTTACCTTGTGATCCGCCCGCCTCAGCCTCCTAAAGTGCTGGGATTATAGGCATGAGCCACCTTGCCCAGCCGAACCATGGAAGGCTTTAATCTGGCTGGTGGCATGGTCAGATTCGCGTGGTGCAAAGATTGTCCAGCTGCTGTGTGGGAATGAGCTGAGACCAGCAGGGAGGTGTGCTGGGACCTCCCCAGGTGTGTGTAGGGTGGTGAGGGTGACCACTTAAGAGGCCTGCATTGGGTTGGGCGTGGTGGCTCACACCTGTAATCCCGGCACTTCAGGAGGCCGAGGCAGGTGGATCACCTGAGGTTAGGAGTTCGAGACCAGCCTGACCAATATGGTGAAACTCTGTCTCTACTAAAAATACAAAAATTAGCTGGGCGTGGTGGTAGGCGCCTGTAGTCCCAGCTATTCAGGAGGCTGAGGCAGAGCTAATCGCTTGAACCCAGGAGGCGGAGGTTGCAGTGAGCTGAGATCCTGTCACTGCACTCCAGCCTGGGCGACAGAGCGAGACTCCATCTCAAAAAAAAAAAAAAAAAAAAAAGGGAAAAAAAAAAGGCCTGCATTGAAAGGTAGGATCGGTGAGGTTGACATGTAAACGTCTCCAGATAGTATCTGAAAGGTCAGGGTAGCCAGCAGATCTCATATGACTTTTCCAGGTAGGATGGGAGTGCACAGAGGCCCCCAAGGAGAGCTAGGTGGGCAGCCAGGGCCTGAGCCCCCTAGGATTTGGAGTGCTAGGCAGGGAAACTGAGGCCAGAGCCCAGGCTAAGCCGGCATGTTCAGCAGTGGGGGGTCGCAGCTCAGGGGTCACCCCATGAAGCCACTGGTCTTCACCGTGGATCCGCACAGGGGTCTAAAGCTGCCTGGGTCCTGACCTGGCACTCTGGGTCCACCCAGCTACCCCCAGCGAAACCTGGGTGACCCCTAAGACTCTCCTGCTTAAGGGCCACAGTGGCTGCCCCTGTCAGGGGATCTCTGCAAGCGCCAACTTCCTTCTGTCCCACTCCTTCCTTCCCTGTGAGCTGCCAGACCCCCTGACTGTGTGGGCTGGGAGGAGCTGGGGAGTTTCCTGAGAAGCCCTGGACTGTCCCCACCTTGGCCTGAGTCACACTGAGAACTCAGCAAGGATTCCTTGAGTATCTGCGAGGTGCCAGGCGCGGTTCTAGGCATGGGGGAGGCCGCGGTGAATCAGGTATAAGTTCTGCCCTCATGGAGCTGGCATTCTAATCGGGGGGTTGGGAGGGACAGACACTGAACAAATAACCACCATATATGTGAGTGATGACAATTACACATGGGGAAACCTGAGGTGGGGAAGGGACACAGGGAGTGTGTGTGTGTGTGTGTGTGTGTGTGTGTGTGTGTGTCCGTGTGTGTATCAGGGGTTGCAAATTCTAAACTGAGTGAACATGAGATTTGAAGAGACCTCAGGAGGTGATGGAGCAAACTTTGTGGATATCTAGGGAACAAGGATGCCAACAGAGGCCATGCGTCGTGGCTCATGCCTATAATCCCAACACTTTGGGAGGCGGAGGCAGGCGGATCGCTTGAGCCAAGGAGTTCAAGACCAGCCTGGGCAACATGATGAAACTCTGTCTGTACAAAAAGTACAAAAATTGGCCAGGTGTGGTGGCATGCACCTATAGTTCCAGCTACTAGGGAGGCTGAGGTAGGAGGACCACTTGAGCCTGGGAGTTTGAGGCTGCAATGAGCTGTGATCGTGTCACTGCACTCCAGCCTGTAACGGAGTGAGTGAGACCCTGTATAAAAAACAAAAACAAAAACAAAAACGCCAGCAGAGGGACCAGCCAGTGCAAAGGCCCTGGAGAGGAGCGTGCATCCTGTGTTGAGGAAGGGCGGGTGTGGCTGAGGCAGGGGAAACAAAAGGAAGCCAAGTAGGGCTGAGGTTGGAGAAGGGATGCTGGGGAGCACTTTCTTTTTTTTTTTTTTTTCAGACGGAGTCTCACTCTCGCCCAGGCTGGAGTGCAGTGGCACAATCTTGGCTCACTGCAACCTCCGCCTCCCGGGTTCAAGCGATTCTTTTGTCTCAGCCTCCCAAGTAGCTGGGACTACAGGCACGTGCCACCACGCCCGGCTAATTTTCGTATTTTTAGTAGAGACGGGGTTTCACCATGTTGGCCAGGCTGGTCTCGATCTCCTGACCTCATGATCCACCCGCCTTGGCCTCCCAAAGTGCTGGGATTACAGGCGTGAGCCACCGCGCCCGGCCACTGGGGATCACTTTCTGCAGCACTTTGTGGGCCATGGTGACAACTCTGGCTTTACTCCAGTGAGCCGTGGGAAGGTCCTGAGAGAGGTGTGACATGAGCTGACTTAACACAGCTACCTGTGTCACCCAGGGGGAAAGTGAGGCACAGAAAGAGTGGCTGACCTATCAGAACCACACAACTAGAGAGCGAGACCACCCCCAAAAGGCCCCAGGTGTGTCTGGCACCAAGGTCCATGTGCTTTCCATTTCTGCACCTTGTCCCTGGGAGACACCCCGGTCCTGCCAGAATGTGTCAGAGGCTGAGCCAACCCGTGAGGTCAACCCTGTAGACAGCTCAAGGAACCAGGACTTGGATCTGGCTTTTGCCCTCTGCTGTCCACAAAACTGGGTGATGCTCTTTCCGATACGGTACGTGTTTATAGGATGCTACAGCTCAGATCACAAAGCATCTTCCTTTGTTTTCTTTTTATTTATTTATTTTTTTTGAGATGGAGTCTCACTCTGTCACCCAGGCTCCCAGGCTGGAGTGCAGTGGCGCAATCTCGGCTCACTGTAACCTCCACCTCCCAGGTTTAAGCAATTCTCCTGCCTCAGCCTCTCAAATAGCTGGGACTACAGGCATGCACCACCACGCCTGGGCTAATTTTTGTGTTTTTGGTAGAGACAGGGTTTTGCCATGTTGGCCAGGCTGGTCTTGAACTCCTGAACTGAGGTGATCTGCCCGTCTCAGCCTCCTAAAGTGCTGGGATTACAGGCGTGAGCCACCGCGCCCAGCCTATCTTCCTTTATTTTCCTTGGCTTCTTATCACTGCCCCCTCCCCTTGGAGACAGATGAGAAAACTCAGGTTCTCATGGCGGAGAACCTGAGAGGATTGGCAAAGTAGATCCTATCAGCTAGAGACAGAGAGGACTGCTGCTTTAAAGGGGACTTTGGGAGATGGTCCCCTTCTCCAGCCCAGAGCAATGACCACTGACCCTCCACGAGTTTTATTCACCTTTTTCTCCCCATTACCAAGTACATGTTTGGCAAAGAGCTCAATAAATAGTTGTTGAAGGAGCATGTGGCTGTCAGGCCTGTGGGAGGGAGGATTAGGAGATGAGAGGCCCTCATTGGTCTAGGGATGGCTGCCCCATCTGCCTAGGGCATGCTGAGTTAGTATGGGGCAGCCCCCAGGAGGTTGGGAAAACTTTCCCAAAACAGAGGTCTAGATGAAGGAGGCCTGGGGAGAGAGGGGACTGGCTGATGTTGTATCTTACGGGGTGCTGGATGGGCTTTGTGTAAAGGCATTTACTGGTGCACATATGCTGTGTGTACTTTTCTGTATGTAGGTTATACTTTAAGAAAAGTTCTGAAAAATTGGCTGGGCACAGTGGCTCACACCTGTCCAGCACTTTGGGAGGCTGAGGCGGGTGGATCACCTGAGGTCAGTAGTTCAAAACCAGCCTGGCCAACATGGCGAAACCCTGTCTCTAAAAATAAAAATAAACTAAAAATACAAAAAATTAGCTGGGCGTGGTGACAGGCACCTGTAATCCCAGCTACTTGGGAGGCTGAGGCAGGAGAATCCCTTGAACACGGGAGGCGGAGGTTGCAGTGAGCCAAGATCGCGCCCCTGCACTCCAGCCTGGGTGACAGAGTGAGACTCTGTCTCAAAAAAAAAAAAAAAAAAAAAAAAAGAAAGAAAGAAAAAGAGAAAGAAAAGTTCTGAAAAATCAAATCAAAGGCACATGTCCAAGCCCCATGTGGAAGAATGGTCAGGAGAGGCACATCTATTCATTTGGTGCACACTTACTGAGCCATCTACTATATACCAGGCACTGATTTAGGCATATTGATGCCGTGGTGAGACAGGGAAGGCCTCTGCCTTCATTGGCTTCCGTTTTGGTGGAGGAGGAGTGGGAAGGAGAAACAAATCATAGATGAGGAACCAAGCATGAGAAATGCAGAAGAGGTGACTGTTACAAGGGTTAATAGGCGGGGTTATGTGATGTGACACAGAGGCGTTTAGCCAGAATGGTCAAAGAGGACCTCCTGAGGAGGTGACATTGGGCAAAGACCTAAATGATGAGGAGTCACCATGGGGCTAGAACAGTAAAGAGCACAGCCTGTGCACAGCTCCCGCGGCTGGAAGGAGCCATTCAAGGAGGCCTGTGGACCAATGTGGAGAGAGGAAGGTGGCAGGTATGAATCAGTTCTAAGATAGCAGAGGCCTTGAATGGCAAGGTAGTGAGTTTGGATTTTATTCTAAATGGGAAACCAAAAACAAAACAGTGACTTTGACCTCCTTTCTACCCTAGGTCTGCAGCCCAGAGGGCACCTTCTGCAAACATGTCTGTGGATCCCCTATCCAGCAAAGCTCTAAAGGTGAGGAGGCAGCCTCTGTCAACCCAGTGAAGCCCTCCCTCCCTGCCCATGCAGAGCCTCCTCATCCCAACTTCCCCTTCTTTCCTGGAATCCCCTGGGTGGCTCAGCAGGCACCAGGCCTTCATGATGCCAAAGGGAAGGGCCACAGCCATGGGCTGGGACCAGGAGGCCTGGGCTCTGGTCACAGGCTGCATGTCCCTGGGGTAGGTCACTTCCCTCTCCAGGCCTCCTTCCCCATCGGGTCAATGTCCCCTGGGGCATTCAAAGGTGCTTTCCGACCTGGGTTTCTCTGGCTGAGTCCAGGGCTTGGCGCTAGGTTAGAATTCAGGCTGAGCCCCGGGGTGGCCTCCTTTTGTGTCCCGATCCTAGTCTGGCCCGGTTTCCCCTTCCCGGATTCCTGCTCCCCTTCGGGGTTTTGGATCAAGTCCACCCACCACCTCGGCGGCTAAGGCGGTGAAAGAGGAACACCGCGGGTGGAGCGGGGGGGCCCGTCCCCAGTCCCCTGGACCTCAGTTTCCTCATGCCCGCAGATCAAGCGAGAGCTGAGCGAGAACACGCCGCACCTGTCGGACGAGGCGCTGATGGGGCTGTCGGTGCGCGAGCTGAACCGGCATCTGCGCGGGCTCTCCGCCGAGGAGGTGACACGGCTCAAGCAGCGGCGCCGCACACTCAAAAACCGTGGCTACGCCGCCAGCTGCCGCGTGAAGCGCGTGTGCCAGAAGGAGGAGCTGCAGAAGCAGAAGTCGGAGCTGGAGCGCGAGGTGGACAAGCTGGCGCGCGAGAACGCCGCCATGCGCCTGGAGCTCGACGCGCTGCGCGGCAAGTGCGAGGCGCTGCAGGGCTTCGCGCGCTCCGTGGCCGCCGCCCGCGGGCCCGCCACGCTCGTGGCGCCGGCCAGCGTCATCACCATCGTCAAGTCCACCCCGGGCTCGGGGTCTGGCCCCGCCCACGGCCCGGACCCCGCCCACGGCCCGGCCTCCTGCTCCTAGTGCCCGCCCCCGCCATGCCTCAGCCACGCCCCTCCGGCCTCAGCTCCCTCCCCAAAGTGCCTGAGCGCCGCCTCTGTGCCCAGGTCCCATTTCTCTGCAGCACTGGCCCCTTGGTGCACACACATTCCCTTCGTGGGCCCTGTCTTCCTCTTGCAGCCCCCCAAACTGGGACCGAATGACCCTGGGAAGGGGAACTTGGGTAGGTTGGGGATGGGGCAGAGGTCTGGATCTGGGATCGCCCTTGGCTGAAAGTTTAGCCTTTTTAGATTGAGAGATACAGAGCCGGCTTAGAGAACAGCTGTTGGGGGAGAAGAGGGCACCCCTCATCTTGGAAACTGCTCTTATTGTGCCAATATGCCCTCCAAACCCTCCCAGGATTCAAAGCTAGGTTTGGCTGTCTGTGACTTACGGGACCGTCCTGCTGAGAAATTGCACTGAAGAGATGCCCCCACCTCTGGTTGGGCCTGGGGGTGCCTGGCCTTCCGAAACTAAAAGAGTGGGTGGGAAGACTAGTGAAACCCAGTTCACGGATGGGGAAACAGGCCTGAGGTCACATTTCACTTAGTGGTTGTGTTGGGACCAAAACCTGGGTGTCCTCACTGCTGCCCTGAGTCCAGCCATGGTTTTCAGGGGGACAGTGGACAGGGACTCAGAAATGTGGTGGGAGGGCCTCCCTGGCTTGGGAGACCGCTCTCTGCAAGGGAGGGGGAGAGAAGCAGAGGGAGAGAGAAGGTGACACGGATGGAAGAGTGGGAAGGAGCTGGCCTGGCTCAGCCCTAGGCTGTCCCTGCAGCCAGGGTGTCCGGGGGCTGGCCAGTCAGAGAAAGGGGGCCATGGACTGCTGTGGCAAATAGGGAGACAAGGAGACAGACCCTGCAGTCCTACTACAGTCTGGAGTGGGGTCCTAAGAAGAAGGGTCCCACCTCAACCCCTGTCAGTGTCCACTGTGGGGTGGGGGCTGACCCCTGCCTTTGATTGTCATTCTCCTGGGAAGCCCAGTCTCAGTCCCTCCCCCAACACTGTCCACACTGCCCCTCCCCACTGTTTATTTATTGCACGGATCTAAGTTATTCTCCCCAGCCAGAGCCCGAGCTCCTGCTCCCTGGGAAAAGTGGCGTATGGCCCTGAGCTGGGCTTTATATTTTATATCTGCAAATAAATCACATTTTATCTTATATTTAGGGAAAGCCGGAGAGCAACAACAAAAAATGTTTAAGCCGGGCGCGGTGGCTCACATCTGTAATCCCAGCACTTTGGGAGTCCAAGGAGGGGGATCGCTTGAGTCCAGGAGTTTGAGACCAGCCTGGACAACATGGTGAAACCCCATCTCTACAAAAAATACAAAAATTAGCCATGCATGGTGGCTCATGCCTGTAGTCCCAGCTACTTGGGAGGCTGAGGCAGGAGGATCACTTAAGCCCAGAAGGCAGAGGTTGTAGTGAGCTGAGATCGCACCACTGCACTCCAGCCTGGGCAACATAGCAAAATCCTGTCTCAAAAAAAAAGTTAAAAAATATTGCCCGGCTCCTAGAATTTATTTATTTCCTGACTTACAGCAAGCGAGTTATCGTCTTCTGTATTTTGTAGACTTTCTAAATAAAGTCAAATTCTTTCTTTTTCCACAGAGAATAAATGTGTATCCTGGACTATGTTTTTTGGCGAGGGGTGTCTAAAATGGGGTTCTGCTTTCAACCCCTTAGGGCTTCTGGTGGCGGGGAGGGCTAGTGCACATCACCAGCTATTGCACAGGGTATGAGGTGGAGGGGAGATGGCGACAGAGACCAGTGATGCTGAAACTTCGATGCTTCCTCTTGGTTGCTTAGAGCACAGGAGCTCCTGGGAAGACAAAGCCATGGGCACAATGAAATTTAGGACTGGATTCTGGCGGAGCATGGTGGCTCACACCTGTAATCCCAGCACTTTGGGAGGCTGAAGCAAGAGGATCATCTGAGACTAGGAGTCCAAGAGCAACCCGGGCAACATAGTGACACCCCATCTCTACAAAAAATAAAAAATAATTAGCCACATGTGGTGGTACACATGCCTATTGTTCCAGCTACTGAAGAGGCTGAGGTGGGAGGATCACTTGAGGCCAGGAGTTTGAGACCAGGCTGGGCAACATAGCAAGACCCCCATCTCTACAAGAAATTTAAAAGTAAGAAAACAGGCCGGGCGCAGTGGCTCACACCTGTAATCCCAGCACTTTGGGAGGCTGAGGCGGGTGGATCATTTGAGGTCAGGAGTTCAAGACCAGCCTGACCAACATGGTGAAACCCCGTCTCTACTAAAAATACAAAAAACAACAACAACAAAAAAAAAACATGGCCCGGGTGCGGTGGCTCACGCCTGTAATCCCAGCACTTTGGGAGGCTGAGGCAGGCGGATCACGAGGTCAGGAGATCGAGACCATCCTGGCTAACACGGTGAAACCCCGTCTCTACTAAAAATACAAAAAACAACAACAACAAAAAAAAAACATGGCCCGGGTGCGGTGGCTCATGCCTGTAATCCCAGCACTTTGGGAGGCTGAGGCAGGCAGATCACGAGGTCAGGAGATCGAGACCATCCTGGCTAACACGGTGAAACCCCGTCTCTACTAAAAATACAAAAAAAATTAGCCGGGCATGGTGGCGGGCGCCTGTAGTCCCAGCTACTCGGGAGGCTGAGGCAGGAGAATGGTGTGAAGCCGGGAGGCGGAGCTTGCAGTGAGCTGAGATCGCGCCACTGGACTCCAGCCTGGGCGACAGAGTGAGACTCCGTCTCAAAAAAAAAAAGAAAAACAAAACAAAAAACAGAAAAACATAGCTGAGTGTGGTGGCGCATGTCTGTAGTCCTGGCTACTCAGGAGGTTGAGACAAGAGAGAATCGCTTAAACCCGGGAAGCAGAGGTTGCAGTAAGCTGAGATCGCGCCACTGCACTCCAGCCTGGGTGACAGAGCAAGACTCCATCTCAAAAAAAAAAAAAAAAAGAAAAGAAAAGAAAAGAAAACAATTAGCCAGTCATGGTGGTGTGGTTGAGCCCAGGAGTTTGAGGCTGCAGTGAGCTATGATTGCACCACTGCACAATCTAGGTGACACAGACCCTGTCTCAAAAGAAGAAGAAATTTAGGGTTAAATTCCCTGGGCATCCCTTTAGTGAACAGACAGTCCCACCCAGAGAGGAAAAAACCCAGATTTCAGAGTAATTTTTCCAGCACTTTCACATTGAGATCTGATTTTCTACAGCCAAGTGGAAACTATCTTCCCCATGTTTCGGAATGCCCAGGGAGGCAGGGAGAGTGGCTTTCCCAGCCCCCACCTGCAGGCCTAAACCATAACCCTGTGTCTTGTCCTAGGCCTCAAACTCACTAATTTCAACCCAATCTGCCAGCCCTTCTGGGGCACCCTGAAGAAGGAGTGGAGTATACTGTGGTCTGTGGGTCACGGCAATTGGGGTTTGAATCTAGGTGTCTGTTCTTAGCTGTGGGATCTTTGGTACTTATTTGGTTTCTTACAGTCTCAGTTTACCATCTGTAAAATGAAGATGCTATGGGGCATTACGTGCGAAAAACCCTGGAGACCTGTGGGGCTGCAGGTTTTAACACTCCGAACACACATTTACAGTGGCACAGACCGAGGTGAGGCCAACTCTATGGCTGGGTATGGGGCTGGCTGGGTATGGGGCCCGCGGGGTAAGGGACCAGTTGGGCGAAGGTGCAGGATTTGAGTCCGGGAAAGGGCCAGATCACGTAGGTAGGCCGTGTCCACGGGGCTTTCTCCCCTTCTCAGGTTGGGGCTCGGTGCTTTCCCTGCCAAGCCCATGACCCTGAAATGCTGAGCTCAGGCCTGCGGGAAGGGCAGCAGGAAGCTGCGGGAGGACGCAGGCTATTTACCCGCCTCGGGAGGCTGGTGGGAATTCCCCCACCCACACCGCATTCCTGAGTGCTCCCGTCAGCAGCAAGCCAGGCCCCAAGAAGGCATGCGGTACCAGAGAGGCCAGGCACTGTGCCCACAGCCAGCGGCCCCCTGCCCCAGGGTCCCTGGCCCTGAGGGTCCCAGGGTGGAGGACAGTCCCAGAGACGCAGGAAGCTCGTCTGAAAGGGGGATCCCAGGAAATCCTGGGAGATGCCTGCAGGAGCGGGGCTGCCAGCATGTGGGCCCCATGGACCTGGTTGACCAAACAGGGAAGGAGCATCGACCGCCTGCGGCCCGGCCGTCCTGGGTTGGGAACTGGCTGGAGGTTGGGGAGACCCTTTGTCCAAGGGGGGCCTGGGCCTTGACCTTGGTCCCTATCAATCCGAACCCCCATCACTGAAAGGTTACACACAGGAAGGAGAGGGTTTCCTAAGCCGCCTGTACCCACAGCCACTCCACCCACCCCAAAGCCAGAGCAGGGGGCAGGGAGGAGGAAGGAAAAACCTCACCCACAGGCAGAGATTTCAATACAATCTATATTATCTCATATATAGATTTCTTCCTCACTTTATTTGCTCACTTCTGTCACGCATTTAAAATGTCACAGAGACCAAAATAGAGTGGCTTTCTGGTGGAACTCATGGCAGTCATACAACAAGATACAAAACTAGGAGACTCTGTCTTCTCATACATCATACAATTAATTTTTCAAGTATTCTTTATGTACAAAGAGCTACTCTACCTGGAAAGAAAATTAAAAAAAAAAAAGACAAGGTAGGTTATGCATCCTAAGGAGGAGGAGGGGATGGAGCGGTCGGGCACATGTTCCCGTCCCCACGACCCCACGGACCGCTGATTCCCTGCCACTGAGCTCCCCCCACCCTCCACGCAAACAGCAACGCTGGGCAGGCGAAAACCAAGGGAGTGGGAATCAGCAGCACTTTGGCCTGGAGGGAGAAGGGAAGCCACGGTGGAGAGACAGCTTGGTGAAAGCAGATGGCGGGGCAGGGCCAGGGCTGGTCCTCAGCCTGTGTCTGCACCCACCCTCCCGGGCAGCTTGGGCCCAACTGCTCCGCCCCCCCAAGATGGAGGGGGAGAGCTGGCCTCTGGCACCCACATGCAGGCCTCTGCCACGAGGAAAGGAAGGAGGCCAGGAAGACGGCTGGGCCCCAACTCTCCTCACAGGTGGCAGGGAGGGAACCTGTTCATTCCAGGAAGGACCAAAAGAAAGAATCCCCAGTGAACACCGGCAGGGTCCCTCTCCCTTACCCTACCAGCTTCTCCAGGTGACT
Organism: Homo sapiens; assembly: GCF_000001405.40. Classification (NCBI taxonomy): domain Eukaryota; kingdom Metazoa; phylum Chordata; class Mammalia; order Primates; family Hominidae; genus Homo; species Homo sapiens. The sequence goes on from NC_000022.11 coordinate 38,220,065, forward strand.
GCAGCCCAAACCCAGGGATAATCTGGGTTTTAAATGCCAGGACACTTTGCCTGTAGGGACACGTGTTGTGACACGAGGCTCTTCCTAAGTCAGGAGCTAGTATAAGCCCAGCCTGCTGGGGGTTCCGGAGGCCCCAGGTCTAGAGGTGTGGAGGGGGAGAGGAGGGGCTTGGTGGTCCTGACCACTCCTGAGGCCTGTCCAAGGGCTCTGGGCCCAGCACTGCAGGATCCTGCGAGTGCCAGCAGCTGAACTAAGAGCCCCAGGGAGCGTGTGGGACAGATGGGGAGCCAGGGAGGGGCGCTTTCATATGTGACTAAGGCACAGAAGAGATGGGCCAGGGGCCAGATGGGGTAGAACACCAGGCCCTGTGTGGATAGGGGCCCCGAGAGGAGTCTGGGACCATTCCCCCCACCTCCCAGCTCCCCACTGTGTGGCCACCCCTCCCGGTCTCCCTGCCGGACTGCCTTCCCCCAGAAGCTGGTCTGAAACGTGGAGACTCAGACCTTTCCCCTGAAACGGGAGGGAGAAGCCCCAAAGAGAGAGAGGACCCAGCATCAGCCTGGGAAGGAGGGCTGGGAGCCCCTGAGCCCTGAAGCAGCCAGGAAGCAAGGGCTCTGCCCAAAGCTATCGAGGAAGGACCCAAGTGAGCCGGCAGTGCGGGCTGTGGGCTGTCCTTGGTAGGCCAGGGGGAAGGGGCATGAGGCAGGCAGAGGTGTGGCCACGACAGGTGGGGATACCCAGGGGCCCAGAAGCCCCTGCTTCAACAGAAGCGGTGCCCAGGGGCCCTGAATGCCCTTCCTGGGTGGGGCCTGTGACTCCTGGTGTCTGGCTCTGATCCTTGCAGCATGCCACAGAGGCCTGGGTCAGGAGGGGAGGACCACAGAGCGCCCACATCCCCACTCCTGCCCGGGGTGAGGTGAATCTAGCACTGGACAAAGGTGGACAGGGGAGGGATGCAGGCGGGAAGAGCCCAGGTCAGACAGGGTATTGCACGGTGTGTGGGGGAGCCACGGCTTGCCGACCTCAGCCTGAGAGTCTCGCGGGGAGGAGGGGCTAGAAGGCTGCAGCCGCTGGTCCACACACAAGCATTGGGGCCTGGGTGCGGCTGGTCCCAGCATGCCCCCAGCACAGGACGGGCAGCAGGGGCATAAGCCTTGCTCCCAGTGTCCTCTGCCCTCGCCCGGGCAGTGCAGGCTGGGCCATGTATAAATATTCCTGAAGGCCCATGGGCGAGCCTGGCTGTCCCCCGTTCCTCTGGAAGTGACATGTGAGTGTTTCTGGTCCAATAAATAAAGGCGGCGTGAGCACTGTGCCAGCTGCCTCCTGGCCTGGTGGTGAGGCTGGAGGTGGGGCACAGCCTGACCGTGGCTATGGCGCCAGCACTTCCGCCACTGCAGCCCGCACCTAGAATTCATCATCAGAGCTGAGCAGGAGAGTCTTCTCGTTGTCGCGGGCGCCACTGAGGCTGTGGGAGCGGGAGAGGCCGTGGGCGCCACCACGCCAGGTGGGCCCAGGCTCCAGGGTGGACTGCTGCGTGTACTGCTGGTAGGCAGGTGAGAAGTTGTGGATGGCGTCCTGCACGATGTCGTGCGGGTTCATGGTCTCCTTGAGGCTGCTGGAGATGCTCTTCATGGGGGCACAGCGGCCTGCCGGGCAGGGAGCGGGAGGGGCAGGTGAGGAGGCTGGGACGGTGAGAGGGAGGTGGCTCAGCCCCTGCCCGTGATCCTGGGACAGACACCCCCCAACCCAAAGCTATGCCCTTCAACCATCCCTTCTGGGACAGAGAATGGGGTCCAGGATATGAGAAGGGGCAGGAAAAAATGGACTTCTTTGGCTGGGGAGCCCCAAGGGGAGGCTGGACTGTGAAGAGGAGCAGACATAAACCCCCACTGGGAGCTGGGCTGGCTGCAGGGAAGGGACCCAGGGTGGAGACTGGCAAGCTATGGGCAGTGAGCCTAGAATGCCCCAGAGAGGCCAGAGCAGGCTCAGCACTGACTGAAGTTGGGGCATGTGGGGCCAGAGGGCCTGGAAGCCAGGGGTGCCCGGTTCCACAGGTGCCAGGCGCGTCCCCCACCACCGGGGGAAGTGCTGTGCTCCCTCTACTCTGGAGATCAGGACCAGGCTGGCCTGCACCCCCAGGGGAGCAGATGCGACTCACTGGCTCCCTCTAAGAGGGCTTCCTCCTCATCTCTCTAATCAACTGTCCCCATCCTCAGGGGCTCAGAGCAGAAAGGTGGCCCAGGACACCTGGATGTAAGGGACGAGCCCACCCCTGGAACCCAGGATTCCTGACTCAGCTTGTGAACTCTTGGAAACATCGTGAAATGCCCCGATATCCCATGAACAGCACTGTGCCCCCAGAAGAAGGCGGGGCATATTCCAGAACGAGAAACGAGGACGGAAGCAGGCAAGCTCTACAGAGGGTGGCCCTTGACAGGTGCTCTGGGCGCTCCCACCCAGGGGGTGCCGGTGGGGAGGAGATGAGGACACGGAGAAGAGCTACAGAGAGACGCATGCCAGTGACAGTGACCAGAACTGACATGCAGGACAGACATGCAGACCAAGAGCGGGACCTACCGTAAGGGCCGTATGTTGGCACTGCCCGCGGCCAAACCCCGGGCAAAAGCAGGGCAAGGGGGGCGGGGAGAGAAGCCAAAGAAATAGAGAAGACAAGAGACAGCTGAGTGAACAATGTGTGCCCACCACCGAGGCCCACCAGCACGACACACCACACACCCTGTCCCCACCCCCCCAGGCCCCACAGGGCACCCAGGAAGCTCCAGGTGCCTCCTGGGGCCTGGCAGGGGGGATATCCACCTAGGGATGACTCCTCCCCTGGTGTTCACGCCAACAGGAAACATCCGTCTGGCGACTGAGTTCCGCCTCCACGTCTAGGTCAGGACGTCCCATCCCCACTTCTTCCCCGGCTAGCCTGGGGCCACATCCACACCTCACATTTTACAAACCTCACAACACTTCCCAGACCAGGACATGGAGGCTCAGAGGGAGGGGTTACAATCGCACAGCTGAGCCAGCTCTGCACCTAAGCCTATCCTGAGGGCTGAGGGTCTGGGCCTGGGTTAGAGGGTAGCAGGGGGCTCAGGACCAGTGGGGAGGCAGAAGAGGGCAAGCAGCTTCCCCGGCCGGGCGTGGGTATGTCTAGAGGGACAGCTCAGGCCAGGCAGCAGAGCCCCTCTGCTGAGCCCCAGTGGTGCAGGAATGGTTCTCTGCCATGGGCCCCCTTGCTCCTTGGGGTGGCCCCAGGCCCCAGGCCCAAGGATGATGTTCCCACGGGCACAGGGTATACCACACCAGGTCCAAGGGACACTGCCCTCAATGCTGGGTGTGTGTTTGCTAGATCCTTCCAACTGGGCCACCAGGTGGCAACCCCTGGCCTTTGTGCACCTGCTCTTTGGGCACAGAGTAGGTCTTCCCCCACCAGGGAAGGCACAGAGGAAGGGGGGCGGGAAGTGGGCCGCGGAGCCCCGCTGCAGGCAGACATTTCTACAGTCCACACCACCCACCACGGAGCCTGTGTGGGGCCTGCAGGTAGGCCCTGGGGAAGTGGGTTTCTTGCCTCCAGCCACTCGGGCAGACAGCTGGCAGCAGCCAGGCTCCTGGGTGGATGTGTCAGAGAAGGAGGCTCCCCTCTCCCCAGTCCCTCCTGCCCCTTTACTGGCTCAATCAGTCTCAGGCATTCCCAGCCTCCTCTTCCCCATCCTCCAAGGACAACCCCCTTCTGCCCAGTGGCCAGAGGCAGCCCTTCCAGCCCAGTGGAGCGTCCCGGGCAGCAGCACTTTCACATCACCCTGGGAGTGCTTAAAGCACAGAACTCTCACAGCACACCCAGCCTGCCAGCCCGGACCCATTACAGCGGGATCTCCGAGGGTGGGGCTGGGTATCAGCACTTCCAAAAGCTCTCCAGGGCATTTTCCAGTACAACTGGGGCTACTTACCACTGTTCTAGCAAGGAGGAAGATTCGCAGGTGTAAAAGAAAGCTGTTAAAACCTATTACCATCCGAGTCTGTTTCTCAGAAGTATTCTTTTTTTTCTTTCTTTCTTTTTTTTGAGACGGAGTCTTGCTCTGTCACCCAGGCTGGAGTGCAATGGCACAATCTCGCTCACTGCAAGCTCCGCCTCCTGGATTCACACCATTCTCCTGCCTCAGCCTCCCGAGTAGCTCGGACTACAAGCACCCGCCACCACGCCCGGCTAATTTTTTGTATTTTTAGTAGAGACAGGGTTTCACCGTGTTAGCCAGGATGGTCTCGATCTCCTGACCTTGTGATCCACCCGCCTCGGCCTCCCAAAGTGCTGGGATTATAGGCGTGAGCCACCGTGCCCGGCCAGAAGTATCCTTTTTTTAAAAAATAGCATATGAGATGAGGGAATTACAGGACAAAATGGTAACCACAGTGTTGGGAGTTAGAAGCCCGAGGGAATTTGTCTATTCATTACAGTCTCTGTCTGTATCAGCCCTGGACCGCCACACTTGGACCTGCTGCAAGGGACAGGTGGCCTGAGCTTCCAGGACCGAATCGGTCGTGCTGGTGGCACCTGCTCTTCCCCGACCTCTGTGGCCCCATTCCTGCATATAGAGTGGGGATCCCATGTCCTGACCCAGCCGCACCTGTAGGATGCTGGGAGGTGGGAGGGTCCTGGGATGTTTGGGGCTCCCTGCTTCTCCCAGCGGGGGTCGCCTAGGACCCTGGCTCATACCTTGTGCGTCCAGCCTCTTGTCAGCATAGACCTTGTAGGTGAAGGCGTGCCGCAGGGCCAGGGCTGCAAAGAACATCTCCACACAGATGATGAAGTCCTGGTAGCCGGCAGCCACGGTGCCCTCGCCCACCGACACGCGGGCCGAGTGGATTTTGGGGATGGCCCCACACTTCTCCAGGATGGCCAGGAGCATGCCTGGATGGGGAGGCACGGGTGTCTGGACCCAGAATGATTCCTTTCCTGCTCCCCCTTCTTCCACAATGCCCCATTCAGCTGCCCACATGCCCCAGTGAGGATGTGAGCAGGGCCACAGCTGCTCCTGCAGGGCAGGGGTAGCGACACAAGGCCACAGCCTCCGGAAACCCCACTCTCCCAGCTCTTTGCCACCGAAACTGAGATGCCAGCAATTACGCAGGGTCTCCTGGGCCCTCTCATCCATGTAGCGGCCCCACCAAAGCTCTCCCTAGCCCCTGGGAAAGGCCCTCGAGGGCTCAGATTTCACCCCCAGCAAGTGCCCAGTGGGCTGAGGCCCCTCTGAACAGGCCCTACAGGCACCAGGGACCATAAGCAGAAGGGGCAGCAGGAAGCGCAGAGGACAGGGTGGCATGGGCAGCCTCCAGGTGCTGGGAGGGGGCTCACCTTGCCAGAAGGAAAGAAAGATGACGGACTTGACCATGAAGAACTTGAGGACGGGGCTGTAGGGGCTGAGCAGCTCCCGGGTGGCGAAGTAGAAGAGGAAGAGGGCGTAGAGGGCCAGGCTGACGGAGATGTTGTAGATGATGGTCACGTAGAGGTAGCCACTGGTGACGCTGCGGGACGGGGAGCATTTTCTGGCTGGGACAGACCCTTGGAGGGAAGGGGCTCTCCTCGACTGCACCACACACAGTCCCCATGGCTCTCAGCCCCACACCTCCAGCAGAGCTCAACGAGCCACTGAAGGGGTCAGAATGGGTGATCAAAGCGACAGACAGGGGTGGGGGTACATGGGGTGCGCCTGCAGGCCAGACCAGCTCTACTGCCTCTGCGTGGCTCGTGGACTTGTCTAAGCCCTGGTGCCCACACTCCTAACGTTGGACACCAGTGTGGAAGCCAGGGCCGGGCCCGAGGCCATAGCCTGACACTCAGATAACAGGCGTCAAAATAGGTGACGCTGCTCAGCTCTGCTGCCTTTTCACTCGGTCGGCTGCATCCCCCTGACCTCCTTTTGCCCACCTGCCCTGGCAGGGCTGTTACACAGTTCACAGACAGTGTGTGCCGAGAGCTTGAAAGCACAGGGCTAGACACATGGTCACTTTTTTTTTTTTTTTTTTTAGATATGGAGTTTTGTTCTTGTCACCCAGGCTAGAGTGCAATGGCGTGATCTTGGCTCACCGCAACCTCTGCCTCCTGGGTTCAAGCGATTCTCCTGCCTCAGCCTCCCGAGTAGCTGGGATTATAGGCACCCGTCACCACGCCCGGTTAATTTTTTGTATTTTTAGTAGTGATGGGGTTTCACCATGTTGGCCAGGCTGGTCTTGAACTCCTGACCTCAGGTGATCTACCCGCGTTGGCCTCCCAAAGTGCTAGGATTACAGGCGTGAACCACTGTGCCCAGCCACGGGGTCACTTTCACTAAGCCCAGAATGAAATGGGTGTGGACAATTTACACAGCACGGGCTTTGTATCTGTGGACTTGAGCCGACCTCTTGGGGCTCTGACCCTCTCGCTCCCTGCCTCAGCAGTGGTCACTGTCCCTTTGTGGCCCATCCCTTCATGGTACCACTCTGCAGCCTGGACATGAACGTGACTGCTGCCAATGGCTCACTCCGGGGCTGGCAGCGGGGCCAACTGCAAGGGTGTCCACTGCTGGGCTCAGACTTCAGGGGGGTTGTGAGCACCAGACACCCAGGAAGGTCATGGCTGTGCGGCCACTCTGGCTGCCCCCTTCCCTGAGCCAAGGCACCAGCCTGCGCCAACACTCCTCCCACACACCCCGGGGAGCACCCGCTGCTTACTCAAAGTCCCCATCCCGGTACTTGCCGAAGGCCTGGAGGACCACAGTGCTGACCGCCATGAGTGGCTTCACCACACAGAACTGCAGGGTGGCCTGTTGGGGGGAAAAGGAGGTTGAGTGTGGAGGAGGAGCACAGAAGGCATGAAGCAAGCCCTGCCTCTGGCAGACGGAACTGTACCGGATGGAGGGACAGAGAGGATGAAGGAGACGGAGAGGACGGAGGGATGGAGGGACGGAGGGGATGGAGGGACGAAGGGATGGAGGGGATGGAAGGATAGAGGAGATGGAGGAGATGGGGGGTGGCTACGTGTCCTGCTCCCAGGGGACTGCTGTCTGCGCGGGGCGGGGGGCAGAACATATAGGAGATGCAGCCAGCGCAATGCCGTATGTGATATGAGCATGTGGAGGAAGGGAGGGAGGAAGGGAGGAATGGTGTGGCAGGGCACGATGGAGGCGGGAGACAGGAGATGCACACAAGGAAGCTTCTCGAGCCAGGACCATCAGGTGGGTGCCGGAGATGAGAGGCTCGACAGGCAGAGGGGGCAGCTTGCACCAAGGCCCCGAGGCAGAGGGTGGACAGGTGCAAGGGGCTGCGCACTAGAGAGGTGGCTGAGGAGATGGGCAGGGCCAGGTCCTGGAGACCTTGGTGCCCGGGGCAAGGCTAGGGCCCTGCTCAAGGAACCAGCCACCGGGAAGCCGGCGCAGGTGAGGGCCTCCTCCCATCCTCCATGTCCACCCCCGATCTGGTTCCTAGCCCTACTCTCTGGGCCTGGGTCCAGGGTTTCTGGTCAGCAGAGGTCACTCTGGGGATGGAGGTGACCTGCAGGAGCCCAGAGCACGTGGACTCCAGAGTCTCAAAATCTGAGTTTGAACTCTGGGGACAGCTTGGGCAGACACTTGGCCTCTGAGCACAGACTCCCTGATGAAAAGGATGTAGTCACTCCCCACACCACAGGGCCACTGCTGCGGGGATGGCACAGCCAGGAAGCGCAGCATCTTCTCGGGAGTCTCCCGCCTCTGTACATGCACTAACGGCGCCTGCTAGCTGGCTGAGCCACGGAAAGAGTTCCTCAGCCAGGTTTTCCCGATTCCCTACGGGCGGACCCATGGTGCCCATAACATCACTAGTATCACCATTATCTAGAAAGCAAATAAATCTAAGCCCTAAGACCCCTTCTGAGGAGCTGGGGGAGGTTAAATCCAATCCAAAAGGCTCAACTAGTGTAGCTGCAAAGAGGACGAGGAGCCTGGAGTGGGAACCGTGATCCGTGAAACCTGCAGCTTCTGCCCCAACTGGGGATCTGAGTGGGTCTTGCAGGGGAGCCCCAGGCAGCCCACACCATGGGGCTGCCATACGGAGAGGCCCGCGTGATGGGGCAGACGTGCAGTCCCACTCTCAGAAAGCCCCACAGAACGTCCCTGGCCCTGTCATCCCGCCTAGAGAAGTGGGACTGGCACCTTCTGGGGAAAAGGGAAGAACGGCAGTTTGCATGAGTTCCAGTTATGAGCCTAGCAACAGGCTGGTGTTTCCCTGGGTCAGCTCACCTGGTACTCATGACAGCCCCCTGACGTGGGTGCTGTCATTATCCCCATGGTACAGGTGAGGAAACTGAGGCAGAGAGAAGCTGAAGCAGCAGCAGCAGCAGCAGCAGAGCCCAGGCCAGCAGGCCCCAGAATCATCACCTGACCATACCCTGGACCAGTCAGCAGTTCCCAGGCTGGGCTGGACATCAGAACCCCCAGGGAGCTTTAGACATGTGCCAGGTTCCAGGGCTCCATTCCAGAACTTCTCCTATGGGCTAGGGTAGTGGGTGGTTGATCTGGGAATCTCTACTTTAAGTAGGGAATCTCTCCAGAAGGTCTGGATATTGAGCACTGGCCCTGAGGAGTCAAAGGCCTGTCTCTGTGCCTCTAGGACAAAGCTGTGGGGTGTGCTCTCTCGCCCTGGTAAAGAAAGGAAGAGGCCTCTTTTGTTCTCTTTCTTCTTATATCTCTCCCTGCCACCGCCAGGAACAAGAACAGAACATCTGAGCCCACAGGGCTGGGGAATAATTTCTAACAAGGCCACACTAGCTAACAATCATGAAATCAAAATTTTGTAGACAATATAATCATCAAACAAGGCAGTGAGTCACAGCTGGCCGGAACCTGGGTGGCTGCACCAACTGGTAAACAATGGCTCTCAATGCCCCACCCTGAACCCAGGATAGTTTTAACTCTTTCCCTGCAGGTCCAGTGGTGAGATTCTGAATTTAGGAACATGCTAGGGAAGGAAGGTCTGGAAGCAGAACTGGAGACTTGGCATGTTCAGGTGGAGGCTTTGTGGGTGTGCCCGCCCTGTGGCCTGGGCCCTGCACAGAAGGGAGCAGCAGGCCCCGCCCTCCAGGGCCATCGTGACTTGGCTGTGGGTTTCATGTACTTTCGTGACTACTCTTGGCGAAGCTGGAGGGGCTGACATGACAGAGCCCCTACGGAGCCCCAGAGGAGACTAACGCAAGGTCATGAAGAGTGGGCGTGATCCCCTCAGACTCTGCCTCCCTGAACAGGAGGCCGTGGGCTCCACCACGCCGGGCTGAAAGCTCTACATCCATGACCTCATCTGATCCTCACAACCATCTCTAGAGAGGAGTATCATTACACTCATTTTACAGTGGAGGAAACTAAAGCTCAGAGAGGGTAAGCCAATTATCCAAGGTCACAGAGTCAGAGGAAAAGCTGGAAATCAGGCTCAGATGGTCAGACACCCAGGCCCACACACTGAGCGACCCCACCACACTGCCCCCACCCAGGCTACTCTAGACCACAGGGAGGTCAGCCCAGGAAGCTAGAGCAGCTGGATTGCCAAGGCTACTCTAGACCACAGGGAGGTCAGCCCAGGAAGCTAGAGTGGCTGGATTGCCAAGGCTACTCTAGACCACAGGGAGGCCAGCCCAGGAAGCTAGAGCGGCTGGATTGCCAAGGCTACTCTAGACCACAGGGAGGTCAGCCCAGGAAGCTAGAGCGGCTGGATTGCCAAGGCTACTCTAGACCACAGGGAGGTCAGCCCAGGAAGCTAGAGCGGCTGGATTGCCAAGGCTACTCTAGACCACAGGGAGGTCAGCCCAGGAAGCTAGAGCGGCTGGATTGCCAAGGCTACTCTAGACCACAGGGAGGCCAGCCCAGGAAGCTAGAGCGGCTGGATTGCCAAGGCTACTCTAGACCACAGGGAGGTCAGCCCAGGAAGCTAGAGCGGCTGGATTGCCAAGGCTACTCTAGACCACAGGGAGGCCAGCCCAGGAAGCTAGAGCGGCTGGATTGCCAAGGCTACTCTAGACCACAGGGAGGTCAGCCCAGGAAGCTAGAGCGGCTGGATTGCCAAGGCTACTCTAGACCACAGGGAGGCCAGCCCAGGAAGCTAGAGCGGCTGGACTGCCAAGGCTACTCTAGACCACAGGGAAGTCAGCCCAGGAAGCTAGAGCGGCTGGATTGCCAACCAGGAAATGCAGGGAGAGACGAAGAGACGGCAGAGGCCTGTTCTGGCGTGTGTCTTTAATGCCAAAACCCTCCTGCCCCCTAGCTGCAGCTGATGAGAAGTTTTCAAATGGAGGTTCTAGAATCCCCACGCACTTCTTCTGATTTTCACACACACTGAGACTTGGTCACACGAGCAAGAGTCTGGGATCAGCTCTTGCCCACAGTGCAACAGACACTCCCAGGATGTCGGTCGCTGCCCCTCCAAGCACACCCTGCTAATGTGGTATCTGCCTAACAGCTTCGGGGGGTGGGTGCTGGGGGCCTGGGGTGCCTCATAGGAAAGGGGACCTCTAAGGTGGGGCCCAGGGCAGCCCACGGCAGGGCCTCCCAGACCCCGCCCTGCTCCTCCTGAGCTAGGCAGCTGCTGGGGGCACACACCTGTTTGCAGAACCTCAGAAATCCGATGGAATAAGTCTTTCCCCAGAGGCAGCAGGTGCCATACATACAGCTGGACCTGGAAGAGACAAGCATAGCAGGCAGTGGCAGTGAGTGAAGAGCCAGGACTTGGGAACAGTGGGGTGGGGAAGGCCGCCCTCCCACCCATCCAGACGAGCTGGGGCACACATTCTGGGCAGACTTTGAACCCGAGGCCAAGCACAGGGAGAGGCATGGCAGGGCATCCGCACATGCCATAGGCGGAGGGACACAGGGCTGCACTGGCCCTGGGGTGACAAACCAACTTGGAGAGCTCTGAATGTAAAAACTGCAGGAGGCAGAAACAGACAGGAAAGCACTAAGACTGAGACAGGAAGAGACAGAGAGAGAAAGACTGAGCCGCAGAGGCCCTCCTAAAACGCCCAGAAGAATGGCGTTGCTCAGGAAATGTGGTGAGGCACAGCAGGTCAAGGTCACGGGCAGACATGGTCTGTGTCCAGCTGGTGCCAGGACGGCTCGAGGTACACCAGGCCCAGGAAACGGGGTGGTTTAGGGCTCTGGGAAGACTCCATACTCACTCAATGGGTTTTCCTCTGATCTCCGACATGATGGAACTTTCTCCTCCTAGGTACTCATAGCACAGGCTCAGGAAATTATAGATGACCAAGGCTGCGAAGAGAGTGTCCAGGAGAAACCAGTCAAATCAGCAGAATGGGTCCGCAGATGCTGGGATTCTAAACAGCAATGGAGGTGAAAGAGCCACAGCTGTGTGTGGCAACAGGGAGGAGGCTGGGGGACATAAGGTTGTGCAAAAGGAGCCCGTCAAGAACACAGACATCTGACCTCCCACTCCTAAGTTCAAAACCCGGCACACCTAAATTATCTTATCCCGGGATGCACCCCTGCACTGGCGTAATACTATGAAGGGACTGTCGTGAGTTCAGGGTTATGTGGGGAGGCCAGAGGAGGCTGAGGTAAGGGTGGGTACTCAGGAGGTTTGGGAGGGCTGGCAGTGTCGACCCTGGGGCGAAACAGTATTGCCTTTATTAGTTTTTCCGGGCGCAGTGGCATGCGCCTGTGGTCCCAGCTACTGCTGCGGCAGGAGGACGTCTTGAGTCTGGGAGTTCTGGGCTGTAGTGTGCTACACTGATCTGGTGTCTGCACCAAGTCTGGCAGCAGTACGGTGACCTCCTGGGAGTGGGGGATCACCAGGTTGCCGAAGGAGGGGTGAACCAGCCCAGGTTGGAAACAGAGCAAGTCAAACTCCAGAGTGGGATCGCACCTCTGAACAGCCACTGCACTCCAGCCTGGGCAACATAGCGAGACCTCATCTCTAATGTATTTATAAATAAATATTTGTCTTACATACTTGTGTGTTACAGGTCACAATTTTATAAGATAACAACAAAACAGTCTCTGTGAAAATCTTGGGAGAAATTCCAAGCAGGAGTGAGAGGGAAGAACCTTCATCCAGTCAACAACCTGTAGCGGTATCCGGAATACGCACAGCACTATGAGCTACAACAAAGCACACGGCAGCACACAGAACACAGTAAAAACCTTGGGAAGCTTGGGCTGCTCATTCTAAATTGGGACTCGGCTCAACATCTCCACAAAGACCCAAAATTTGCCACCGGGAGTGATGGCACAGCAAGTCTGCTGTAAATGTTGATGCTATAAATACAGCAACACGCTGTAACGGGTCTCCTGGTCAGGTGGTTCCTTCTGGGTCAGCAAAATGAAGGCTGCTGCCTGCAGGGTGCTAGAGGCAAATGGACATGCCAGGATGGAGGAGAGTGTGGAGAAGGCGGGGGAAGGGGTGCAGCAGACGGTACCCAAAATGAAAGAACGCAAGAGGAAGAGCCAGGGTGAGGACATGGGAATGAGGATGGGCATCCAGTAAAGGCACAAGGCCAAGGGGAGGGGCAGAACAGGGTCAGAACAGGTCGAGGGAGCCACGGTGGCCCTCCAGCCAGAGGGCTTCTTCTCATCTGACCCCGCCAGCCCCTGCAGTACAGAGTCCTTTTAGGCTCCCTGGTGCCGCCCAGCTTGGCACTTGATCTTTCAATGGGTGACCTGGTCCCTGCCCAAGCTCCCGCCACTCCCGAGCAGCACTAATGCTGCACTTCTCCCCAGAGCAGGTTCTCTTATCCTTCGGTGCTTCTGCACTCCCAGATCCCAGAGGTTCTAGCACCCTTCCCGCTGTACTCTCAGGATCCATCAACCCCAGCTGGGATGGCACCCAGTGTGACAAGTCCCCGGTGACCATCGTGGAGGTGAGTGCCCTCCTACCCACGGAACCTGATTTGCAGACACTTCCCACCCTGTGTCACAATGACTGGTCTCCCCCTCTCGCCTTCCTCAGGACACAGGTGCCACTCATGGCACACACGGGGCACACCACAACAGTTTCACTGACTGAACTGGAGCGTGGAAAGCCCTGGTGATGTTTTTTAGGCAAAGCTGGCCTTCAGCGATTTGGAAAGGAACACATTTGCGGCATTTTATGCTACTCACGGTTGCCCTAATCCATTAAGGGCTCCCATCTCCAGGTGGCATCCCCATGTATATGTCCCCCAGCACTGACCACGCCTTGTTGTGACTGTCCCTTCACCCTTCACACACATACAGCAGAGGTATGCGATGTGTGTGAGCCTCTTTGGGTTCAGTTTCCTCATCTATCAAAGGGGATCACAGGAGCACCAACTTGGCAGGTGGCTGTGAGGCGTGAGCATGAAAGTGTTCAGAAGTGTGTCCGGGGCTCACTGCGCTGGGTGTTGGCTGTCACGACCATTACCGTCTATCTGCTGCCTGCAGGGCCAGGAGCCCCTAGACAGGGCTGAGGGCTGTGTGTACTGCCTGCCTGTGCTGGAGGCAGCTCAGGATGTCTCAGGACAGACAAGTCTCCACCAATCTCCAGATGACTCTTCACCAGCAAGAACTATGGGGCAAAGGGAAAGGGGTGGGCATTAAGCCAAACCTGATGTCAGCCTGCCAGTAACCTCTGTTCAAAACCTCACAAGGCCAAGCACAATGACCGTGTCCATTCTAAGCCGGGTCCAGCTATATCATGATGGTTGTATTTTTTTTTGTTGTTTTTGTTTTTTGTTTTTGCTTTTTTTGAGACAGAGTCTCGCTCTATCCCCTAGGCTGGAGTGCAGTGGCACGATCTTGGCTCACTGCAACCTCCACCTCTAGGGTTCAAGTGGTTCTCCTGTCTCAGCCTCTGGAGTAACTGGGATTACAGGCGCACACCACCACACCCAGCTAATTTTGTATTTGTAGTACAGACAGGGTTTTACCATGTTGGCCAGGGTGGTCTTGAACTCCTGACCTCAGGTGATCCGCCCACCTCGGCCTCCCAAAGTGCTGAGATGACAGGCGTGAGCCACCGCGCCCGGCCGACGGTTGCATTTTCTAGACTGCCACACCTCGTGATGCTGACACCCCTCCTCTGAGAGGTGGGGTCTTGTTCCCTCCCTTTGTATCTGGTGGCCCTGAGTAACCACAGCCAAAGTGATGTTTTGTGACATCTGATGTAGGGGTTGGAAGAGGCCTCTTTCCTCTGGCTCTTTTTCCCTTGAATGCCTGTCCTTGCACTCAGTCACCATGCAGCGGGGAAGCACGAGCTAGCCTTTGGAGACACCGCACAGAGAGGCTCATGTGAGGGAACCGAGGCCTTCAGCTGACAGCCAGCATCAACTGCCAGGCACACAAGGGAGTGAGCCTTCAGGTGATTTGCCCCAGCCTTCACGCTCTCCTGCCAAGGCCCAGAGGTCATGGAGCAGGGACAAACTATCTCCCCTGCACCCAGTCCAAATTCTTGACCTATAATATCCATGAAGAAACTGGATGGTTGTTTTACACTAGTGTGTTTTGGCAGTAGTTATTTGCACAGCCATGGTAAGTGGAATACAGATAAAACCATGACTGAAGCTCCTGGGACGTGCTGTGATCACTCACGCCTGCATGCAATGGTACATTCTGGTCCCTCTGCTCACCGCAGAGGCAGACCCCACTGAGATGCCGCCTCTTCTGTCCTGCACCCTGCTTACTTCACACATCACCCCTCTCTGGGCTCTGCCTGATCCCTCCGGCACAAAAGCAACATTAAGTAAGGTAAAGAGCCATGGGCCCTGGAGACAGCCTGCCTTGGTTGTGAACTGTGGTCCCACCTCTTAGGAGCTGTGTGGCCTCAGGCAAGTGTCTTAAGCGCTCCATGCCCGAATCTCCTCATCTGTAAGCGGGATAACTCCTCCCTTGGTGGGGTCAGGGGCTGTGAACGTGCAGAGCCTTAGATGAGCTGAGGGCACAGTCAAGAGTCCACGGTGTGTTACCTACTGCTTTTTCCAGACTGTAAACTCCTTGCAGGTAGAATGCAGTCCTACCTCCAATGACTACCGGAGGGCCTGGCAGCTACAAACATGTCATCAACACTGAAGGAAGGAATGGACAGACGTACATGGACCATCTCCCCAGGGGAGCCTGCCATGACAACAGGCTCAGGCAGGGCAGGAGGGGACACCCCACTCTCATTCCAACACTGGAGGAGCTCCTCTCAGAGGCTGGCCCCAAGACTATCAGCTTTCCAGTCTCGAACAACAAAACCCTCCAGGGAAGCCACAGGGGCCCCAGGCCCATAAGCCCTCTCTATCTGGAAGCTCCCTCCCGGGAGAGCCCATCCCTGCAGTCCTCTCCCAAGAAAGGCTTGGCATCTGGGCTCGTGTCCTTTCCTGCATCAAAACACATGTCAGCAGTCAGCACACTTTTGAATTACGTGGCCGAGGTCCCTCCGTAACCGGCTCTGCACACAACTGATCAGAATCATCAAATGTCATCATCCCTCTCAGTTCAAGATTCTTGACCTTTTGGAGGTGCTCTGGGGCCAGCCAGTCTGTAAAGTACCAATTTGCTGACAGTTCCCTTTAAACAATCATTAGTGAGTCGATAATGGACTCCCTAATTCTTGGAGAAGATGAGACAGAATCTCCTCAGACGTGACGCAACCGGCCCAAGCCTGGCCCCACTGACCAACTGGACACATCAGTCTCCCTCCTGGAAAGTACAGAGCCATGTGAAACACCACCTCCAACATCTTAGCAAAGGTGTTTAAAATGGAAAACTCAACACATCCCCTGGAAACAAATAAAAGATGCGTGCGTGGATGTAAGAAGAGCGGAGAAGCTGAGACGGGGCTGGAGGGAGGTGCTTGACCGGGAAGCTCACTGCCCACCGCCCTTCCCACCACGGCTCCAGTACCAGACCCCTGGAGAGGCCTCGGAGACACACAATGACTCTACATCTCCCTAAATATCTACCACAGCTGGTGTGCCAGGCTCTGTGCTAAGCCCTCTCATAAATGACCAAGGAGCCCTCAGGCCAAGTCCAGAGGGCAGCAACCAGCGTGAGGGACCGGAGGGCCTCTCTCTCCTGGCCTGGACAATCAGGCTGTGTCTTCTCTGGAGGGTTTTGTCTTTGGAGACTGGAAAGTTGATGGCCTTGGGGCCAGCCTCTGGGAGGAACTCCTCCATCGTTGGAATGAGAGTAGGCTGTCCGCTCCCCACCCCCATGCCCCATCTGGAACTTTCTGCTCCATTCTAGACACCACATCTCAAACTAGAGACAAATGCACAGTATCAGGAGAGAAGGACCAGGATGAACACAAAACAAGGACTGTGCTGGGGACGAGAAGACATCAGGGGTCACTCTCTTAATAGACGTGACAACCACCTTCTTCCCAGGGGCAGATGGGACTCCCAGGGGCAGATCCCAGAAGGACTGCAGCTCAATATACTCAATATACGAAACCATTTCCTTTTTTTGTTTTTTTTTTCTTGATGCAGGATCTCACTCTGTTGCCCAGGCTGGAGCACACAGATGCGATCACGGCTCACCGCAGCCTTGACCTCCCAGGCTCAATCAATCTTCCCACCTCAGCCTCCTGAGTAGCTGGGACTACAGGTGTGGGCCACCATGCCTGCCTAATTTGTGTTTTTTGTTTTTTTGTAAAGACAGAGTTTTACCATGTTGCCCAGGCTGGTCTTGAACTCCTGGGCTCAAGTGATCCGCTGGTCTCAGCCTCCCAAAGTGCTGGGATTAAGGGCATGAGCCACTGCGCCTGGCCTATAAGAAACCATTTCTAACGGGCAGAGTCCAGAGGTGGAAGTCGTGAGCTTGCTGCCAACAGAAGCAATCAGGCTGGGTAACCCCTCAGCAGACTTTCTAAAGCAGTCCCTTCCAAACCCGAGGCTCCAGGCTTCTCCCTCGTGACTTTCCTGTCCCTTGTGGATCCTGTTATTCCTGTTTGTCGCCCTCCCAAATGCTGCTTCTGACCTCTCCTCTACTGGCTTCTTCTGAATGGCCTTCTTTCCTATTGGCAGCTCCTTGAGCCTGGGTAGGAAGCTGTAGGCCAAGAGACTGCTCCCCACCCAGCCTCTCAGCTGCCCCGTGACCTAATAAATGCTACAGGACCCAGCAGTTGTAAGGCTCTACATGTTCACATCCCCCCGCAACGGCCACCCTCATTCCCCCACAAGGAAGGAGTTATCCCCGCTTACAGATAAGGAAATTCAGGCATGGAGCACCTAAGACACTTACCCCAAGAGCCCCCGGGCTTTGAGAAAAGACTCAGTACTTGCCCTCTCACGTTTCTGCGTGCAGCTCCCAGGGTCAGGAGGCAGACACACTCATATAACTTGCTATAACTTCAATACACACTCGCTGTGTGCCTACTGTGTGCCACACACTGCGTGCGGGACCCCGATGACCCTGGGCACACTGGGCCATTCTAAGCTCACCCCCTGTGCACACCTTCAGCGCCTAAAGCTGGCCTCATGGCCCAGCCTTCTGCTGCAGAGAAACACTCTGGTTACTTGGAAAGACTGGGGGCATTCTGTATTTCAGATAACGGGTGGATGAGCCTGGAAAAGTTAATTTTGCCCACTTTGGGCAGAAATCTTCTCTGCTCAGAAAATAGGGGCCTCAGAACGTTCTTATGCCTCTTTTCAGTGATGGGTGATCATCCTGGACAAGAATGGGCACAGTGTGTTGCAACCAAGGGGGCAGGGGTCTGCGTGGTACAAGTGACCCCAGACTCTAAGCTGTGCCAAATGGTTCCTCTTCTCCTCCCTACTGTCTTTTTTTTTTTTTTTTTAGACGGAGTTTCGCTCTTGTTGCCCAGGCTGGAGAGCAATGGCAATGGCGCGATCTCACTGCAACCTCTGCCTCCTGGGTTCAAGCAATTCTCCTGCCTCAGCCTCCCGAGTGGCTGGAAGTACAGGCATGCGCCACACGCCTGGCTAATTTTGTATTTTTAGTAGAGATGGGGTTTCTCCATGTTGGCCAGGCTGGTCTCGAACTCCCGACCTTAGGTGATCCACCTGCCTCGGCCTCCCAAAGTGCTGGGATTACAGGTGTGAGCCACTGCGCCCAGCCCCCTCGCGGCTTTTTTATCCTCTGCTGATCATGCTTATTCCTGCTTCTTTCTGCCCTGAATGCTGTTTCTGACCTCTCTTCTACTGGCTTCTTCTGAATGTCTTTCTGCACTTGGATCTATCAACTTCTTTTTTTTTTTTTTTTTTGAGACAGAGTCTCTCGCTGTCGCAGGCCGGAGTGCAGTGGTGCGATCTCGGCTCACTGCAACCTCCGTCTCCTGGGTTCAAGCGATTCTCCTGCCTCAGCCTCCTGAGTAGCTGGGACTACAGGCATGCACGACCACGCCCAGCTAATTTTTGTATTTTTAGTAGAGATGGGGTTTCGCCATGTTGGCCAGGATGGTCTCGATCTCTTGACCTCACAATCCGCCCACCTTGGCCTCCCAAAGTGGTGGGATTATAGGCGTGAGCCACCGCGCCTGGCCACTATCGAGGTCTTATAATCCTTGGCTCTATCTGCAAGAGCCACAGCCAGCCAGGGAGTCCTTCTGGCAGCAAACTGGCCTCTGGCTCTTGTGTGGCCCTGCACCTGCGGCCCTCGGCTGTGCTCACCCCGGTTGGACAGTGAATGAAGCATCATTCTCTGTTGCTGTCATGCATTCAAATCTCTTTCCCTAACAGGAGTTCACACTTTTCCAGGGGAGAAACTTGTCCTGTCCTCTCTTTCACCATGCTGGCACAGAGCCCTAGGATTCAGAGACCCAGCTGCAAGTTTGGCCTTTGGCCATTACAAGATCTGGGTCACTCTGGACAAGTTTCAGAGCCTATTCAAATTTTTTTCACATTTGTAAATGGGGATAATATATATACTCTGCCAGGTACTTGGGAGGTGAGAATGAGCTAACAGTGATGAAAAACACGTGGGAAAACTGTGAAATGCCACGCAAACATTCCTAACAAACAGCAACTGCATAAAGCGACATACGGACACCGCCTCCTGCCTCTGAACCCCAAGGCCCTGTGCCTCTGATCACAGAACTCCCCAGCACTGTCTCAGAGTTGTCTTTATGGCCCACCCCCAACCCCACAATCAAACACTGAATGCATATGGGGGGTGGTTCCCACCCTGCCCCCATCTGCCTGCCCCTCCACACCCTCTGGTGACACATGCCAGCACTATGAATTCCAGCCCTCGCAGATGGTACGTGGCACTAAGCCCTCTTCCAAGACTCAGCCCTCTCTTTGAGAACAGGAAGCACTAGTCACAGGGTTCACAGGCTAAACACACACTTATCTCCACTATCCCCCTCCTCGCCCTCCTAACGCCACTGAAATGAGAAGGAATGAGGGTGGGGTGGGGAGCAAACCTTCAAGGACAAGAGGAGTGGCAACAGCCAAGCGACATCAACAAAGCTCTGAACGCCACATGCCCACCGCTCCATGGTCACCGAGTGGCGGATGGTTGGGGGTGGGGGTGGGAGTCAGAGCCCTAGGAAAAATCAGCACTGCACATGCCAGGCAGCTCTGGTGGCTGTGGGTGAGGGTGCAGACGCAGAAGCTGGTTAAAAGTCTCCACGTGGAGCCACTGCATTACAAGTTTCAACAGAGGCTGAGACAGCTCTATCCTCAGAACACGGTCCAGCTGAGGGCAGTAATGGGACAACTTGGAGAAAATCCAAAGACTAAGCCTGAATACGAAGGGCGAGAGGTCCTCTCAGATCTCTGCCACGCTGTACCAGTCACTCAGCCTGTGCAGTGTTTTGAGGCAGGAGATGAAAAATTATTCTCTACAGAAACAGGTCCCAGAATTTAAAAAGGCTTCATTTGGTACCTGCCCCCCATGCTGCATACAAACAGCCAAGGAAACACCCCATGTTCCATCACCCAATCAGGAGGTCCAGCAATTTTTTTTTTTTCTGGGGCGGGTAGAGATGAGGTCGAGGTCTCGCTCAGTTGCCCAGGCTGGAGTGCAGTGGCACGATCACAGCTCACTGCAGCCTCAAACTCCTGGGCTCAAGCCATCCTCCCGCCTCAGCCTCCTGAGTTGCTGGTATTTTAAGCCCTTCTTATATATAAAAAATAGCCAAGGATACTGATATTTGAGGAGCGCTTCTAACAAGAAGGTCAAAGACCAAAGCGACCAAACAGAAGAAAGGAATTCAAGAGATAGAGACAATGTAGGGAACAGAAGAAAACTGCAATGACCATCCCCAGAGACCAAAAAACAATACTCTCTCACGTACCAAGAACAAGGCATCATAAAGAAAAAGAATGGAGAGAGCTACTGACATTCTAAAACATGATAAAGGAACTAAAACATTCAACAGAAAAGCTCAAAGGTAAGATTAAAAAAACAAACAATCAAAAACAAAAAACAAAACAAAACAAAGTTCATGGAAAACAGTACCAAAAAAGAGCCAGAAAATTATAAAGAAAATCTGAGGCTCAATCCAGAAGCGCGAGGTCCTACTAGCAGGAATTCCAGAAAGGGAGATTGGAAGAAAGTGGAGGGGAAGAAATGATCAAAGAAACATACAGAAAGACTTCCCAGAACCTTAAGGCAGGAGCATCCACACTGGAAGGGCCCGCCAGGTTGCCGAGCACAATGACTATCCCACCTCCTGTGAGATTTCAGGACACTGGGGATTAAGACAAGATCCTAAATGCAAAGAGGAGAGGGGGGGAAAAAAAGGCAAAAAAAAAAAAAAAAAAAAAAAGCACAAGCAGGTCACACACACATACAGGCACTAGGGATCAAATACAGCAGACTTTCCAGAAATTACATCAGAATCTAAGACAGTGAAGACATGCCTTCAAAATTCAAAGGGAGAAGGATTTCCAACTTAGGATTGTATTTCCCTTGAATACCAATCAAATACAACAATATACTAAAGATATTTTCAGATTCCACAAAATAGACCTCCCATGCACTCTCTTTCTCAGGAAGCTGCTGGAAGACGTGCTCCAACCAGGCAGGGAGAGCAAACCATGAACAAGGAGGAAACAGCCTCCACGGAACAGGTGACTCAGCACAGGAGAAGCGGTTTCCAGGCTTATGGTGAATGAAAGAGCCAGGGCAACAGCTGAGCAGCGGGAGCCTGGAAAGCAGGCATTCCTGACTGCAGCACAGGGAGAAGGCACCAGGAGAAGCGTCACGGGGAAAATGGCAGAGCTCAGGGATTCCTGGATTGGCCTGGCTTTACTGAGAGCAGGGCTGGTTGGTTGGTTTGTTTTGTTTTGTTTTTTAAATTCAACTGAAGTATTTAGGAATAAACTAGTGATAGGTATATGTAGAAAACTCAGCAAACTAAAAGAAGGCAAGTAGTAACTGGAGCAAAAACAAAAAGTTACATAAGAAAAGGAAATGCATTGGATGCAGTGGCTCATGCCTATAATCCCGGCACTTTGGGAGGTCGAGGCGCAAGGATCATTTGAGCCCAGGAGTTCAAGACCACCCTGGGCAACACAGTGAGACCTCATCTCTACAAAAAAAAAAAAAAAAAAATTAGCGGGGCATGGTGGTGGCACACGCCTGTGTCTGTCAGAACAAGACCTGTCTCTTCAGTGCCAGGCACGGTGCTCATGCCTGTAATACCAGCACTTTGGGAGGCCGAGGCAGGTGGATCACAAGATCAGGAGATCGAGACCATCCTGGCTAACACCATGAAACCCTATCTCTACTAAAAATACAAAAAATTAGCCAGGTGTGGTGGCGGGCGCCTGTAGTCCCAGCTACTCAGGAGGCTGAGGCAGGAGAATGGCGTGAACCCAGGAGACAGAGTTTGCAGTGAGCCGAGGTGGCGTCACTGCACTCCGGCCTGGGTGACAGAGCGAGACTCCGTCTCAAAAAAAAAAAAAAAAAAAAAAAAGAACGAGACCTGTCTCTTAAACAAAGCCCTTCCATAGTAGGAAGTCACCATGTAACATCATATAAAACTGAAAAACAAACAACAACAAAAACCAGTACAAGCATATTTTAGGTCATTCTAGGAAGAAAACAGCTGAAAGAGTTGAAAGTACAGTGAACTTCAGAGTGAGGAGTTAGGGGAGTTTCGTGTTTCAACCATATGCCTATATTACTTTAATAAATGTAATTTTTTTTAGTGTTTTTTAAAAGCAGAATTTTGTTAACAAAGAAAAAAAGCAGGGCCAGGCTTGGTGGCTCACGCCTGTAATCCCAGCACTTTGGGAGGCCAAGGCGGGCGGATTGCCTGAGCTCAGGAGTTCAAGACCAGCCTAGGCAACACGGTGAAACCCCGTCTCTACTAAAATACAAAAAAAAAAAAAAAATTAGCCGGGCGTGAAGGCGTGTGCCTGTAGTCCCAGCTACTCGAGAGGCTGAGGCAGGAGAATTGCTTGAACCCAGGAGGAGGAGGTTGCAGTGAGCCAAGATTGCACCATTGCACTCCAGCCTGGGCGACAGAGCGAGACTCCGTCTCTAAAAAAAAAAGAAAAAAAGCAAATGACCGTAGTGCTCAGCTCTGAGCAGGTCCTCAGGAAGGGCTGGCTGGATCTGCAGAGTTCTCCAGCCCAGGTGAATCCCACTCCCTCCTGGGCCCTCCTGGCCCCTCTTGGGCACTGAGAAGGAAGGGTGAGAGGGGAAATACAAGGATCGGGGGGGACTGCCCCATCACTGACTCTGCAGAGGCAGCTGCAAGAGAGGGGCTAGGACCCAGAGCAGTGGTGCAGGGACAAGGCAAGGAGCAGGCCCCGCTGCCTCTGATGCTAAAAGCTGGTGAACTTGGCCAGGCACGGTGGCTCACATCTGTAATCCCACCACTTTGGGAGGCCAAGGCGGGCAGATCACAAGGTCAAGAGATCAAGACCATCCTGGCCAACATGGTGAAACCCCGTCTCTACTAAAAATACAAAAATTAGCTGGGCGTGGTAGCACACGCCTGTAGTCCCAGCTACTCGGGAGGCTGAGGCAGGGGAATCACTTGAACCTAGGAGGTGGAGAATGCAGTGAGCTGAGATTGCCCCACTGCACTCCAGCCTGGCAACGGTCTCAAAAAAAAAAAAAAAAAAAAGCTGGTGAACTCGGGGGCAGCCTGAACTTCACTGCAGCTGCTGTACTGTTTGTAAACTCCCTGGGAGAGGCCAGGCCAAAGGGATAATCGCGTTGCTAGGAGATGTGCTTCACAGGGTGGCCGACTTCCTGGAGGACCTCTCCCCGGGCAGGGAGGCAGGTCAGGGCAGGCGGGGCCTGAACAAAGAGGCTTCTGGAGTGAGGGGTGCCCGCCAGCCATCTGCTGCCGCCTCTGGGGCACGGAGTGAGAGTGAAGCGGAGGCTCCCCTGGCTGTGTGCCCCGCCTTCTGCCATGCGCCTGTCTTTGGGGTCCCGCCGAGAAGAGAGCCCACACTTGTCCCCCGACCACACAGGAGAGGCCACCTTGGCAGGGAACAGCTTTGTGCTTCTGAAGGAACAGGTGGGCAGAGGCTGCCCCTGGGTACCCATGCGAGGCTGGCAGCTGAATGGAAGTGGATTCTCAGCCCCACACTTCGCCAATTCCAGCCTTTATGGTGCCCCAGGGACCCAGAGGTTTCCCTGGAGACTTGGCTGCTTCCAGAAATATCAGACACCAGAGCCCCAGTTAAGCCCTGAGCAGGTCCCCATCTGGCCTCAGTATTCTCATCTGGAAGGACAGGATGGAACGCCAGCCTGCGAGGAGGGAGCATGGGATGTTACTGAGGCCCCACATGGAGGAATGCAAGGCACAGGGCAGGGGTTTGATTAAGTCCCTTATTCATCCAAAAGGGAGGAAGTAGGCATCTCCCATGGGCCCGGCTCTGTCTGGGCATGGCTGCACCCCATCCTGCTCTGGCAGGGCTAATCATGCTCAGGAAGATGGAACACGAAGCAAGGGAGCTGCAGACTGTGGTGGGGCCGAGGACCTGGATGGGTGCTGGGAGTGAGAGTGGCGGGGAACAGACGGATGGAAAGGAGGGACCCCACGCAGAGCAGAAGAGCTTCCCAGGCCGGGGACACAGCACGTATCAAGCCCTTGAGGCTGGGAAGCACCTGCCTGATGTGGCCGCAGTTGGGGGTGGGAAGGCAGAAATATGAAAGGCTGGGGTGCAATGGGCTCCTGTTGGGCGCCTCCATTTTCTTGCCAAACCTAAAGGCATTTCCTGTGCCCTATGAGTTCTCAGGGATACACAAGTTTCAACGTGGAGAGGAAGAGAGACTCCAGCTGCTTGGGGGATGAGCATGCTTCACTCCAATATCCACAGAGTGCAGGCCTGGGGCAGCACCCTCCCAGGTCAAGGAAACAGACAACTTCTGGGCATGGCCAGAGCTGCTCTGCCTGAGATTAGGAAAACCACATCCGGTCACTTTACCTAAAACCAGCAGCACAGGTGTGGGTAGGAGACAGGAAACCTCACACTCTGAGAATAGCATGGGTATCAATGTAGGGGTCTTTTTTTTTTTTTGAGACAGAGTTTCGCTCTTGTTGCCCAGGCTGGAGTGCAATGGCACGACCTCAGCTCACCACAACCTCTGCCTCCCAGGTTCAAGTGATTCTCCTGCCTCAGCCTCCTGAGTAGCTGGAATTACAGGCATGCACCATTATGCCCGGATAATTTTGTATTTTTAGTAGAGACGGGGTTTCTCCATGTTGGTCAGGCTGGTCTCGAACTCCCGACTTCAGGTGATCTGCCCGCCTCGGCCTCCCAAAGTAATGGGATTTCAGGCGTGAGCCACTGCACCCAGCCCAATGCAGGGGTCTTGAGGAACCCCTCCTCTCCATTCCTGCTGGCCTGTCTAGGGCAGACCTGGGCATTGCTGGCCTCTAACAGATGAGGAATGCCTGGGACCTGCCCAAGACAGGTCAGAGGCCAGCTCCCATGAGAGCAGCATCCTGGTCTCCTTGTGGTGACTGTTTAGGGGCCACAGCCTCCCGCAGGGCAGCAGGGGTGAGGCTGGCTTCTCCTCTTGGCAACCCAGCTCCTGGCCTGTGGTCGGAGCTCAGGATGGGAGCAGGTGATGTCTCCACTCCACATCCAGAACCAAGTCCCCGGAAGGAATCGAGTCTTCTTCCTGGGTGGCACAGTAGGGCACCCACTCGTGGGACAAAGCCCTCAGAATTAAGACCCATGGGGACAGAGCCCCAGCCCTGCCACTGACTTGCCAGGGATCCCTGGAAGGGTCCCTACCCAACTGCACCTGGGGCCACCTGGGGTCTCTACAAACAGACCACTTGCTTGCTGCCCCCACCCTGCCTGAGACGCCAGCATTGAGAAGCGAGACCCAGGGGGAGGGCCCTTGCTTCCAGGTACCTGCCTGAGACGCCAGCATTGAGAAGCGAGACCCAGGTGGAGGGCCCTTGCTTCCAGGTACCTGCCTGAGACGCCAGCATTGAGAAGCGAGACCCAGGGGGAGGGCCCTTGCTTCCAGGTACCTGCCTGAGACGCCAGCACTAAGAAGCGAGACCCAGGGGGAGGGCCCTTGCTTCCAGGTACCTGTCTGAGACGCCAGCACTAAGAAGCGAGACCCAGGGGGAGGGCCCTTGCTTCCAGGTACCTGCCTGAGACGCCAGCATTGAGAAGCGAGACCCAGGTGGAGGGCCCTTGCTTCCAGGTACCTGCCTGAGACGCCAGCATTGAGAAGCGAGACCCAGGTGGAGGGTCCTTGCTTCCAGGTACCTGCCTGAGACGCCAGCATTGAGAAGCGAGACCCAGGTGGAGGGCCCTTGCTTCCAGGTACCTGTGAGGTGAGACTCTAGCTGCATGTGCTGTTACCTGTCAATTTGGGACAGAAACCCTGTAGTAGGTAAAGCAGCAAGGGGTGTGTCAAGACAGTCCTCATGAAGCCCCTCGGGGAGGAATGTGGGGACAGGGGCTCCCAGCCCCCCAGCCCCCCGCCAGCCCTCCCCACTCCGTCCCCATCCTCACCCTCATAGCAGTCGCGGACGGTGCCGAAGTACACGTAGTACTGGTCGTTGGTGAAGAAGAGGAGGCTGAGCCAGGAGTCAAAGGCGTAGATGGGCACGATGAAGAGGATGCGCACGATGTAGCGCTGCTCGTTGGGGCAGCTGTAGCAGCGCAGGTGCATGTAGATCTGGGGGCAGAGGTGTGGGGTCAGCTGGGGACCCTCCTGTCCACAGGGACGGGAGGGCAGGTGGGCTTCCAGCTCTGCCACCGACTCATCTGTGACCCGATGCACGTGACCTACCCCTGAGCCTCAGAGCCCTGCTCTGCAAAATGCGGGATGACAGGACTTGCCTCCCAAGGCCATTGTGAGACTCAGACCAGCGGGCGTGCACAAGGCTCGTGGAGTGCATGCAGCAGTGCCTGTGGGGCAGTCTTGCAGGTGCAGGTGGCAGTGAGCCCACACCCCTGCCCACAGGAAGGCCAAGGATGAGGATGGAAATGCAGTTTCCACAAGCTCCCCAGGGGACCTCACGCACTGGCAGCTCTGGGCCATCAGTGTGTGCCCTTTCCCTCTACCTCACTCCGGCTGTGACTGTGGCAGCACTGAGCTAAATCACTGCCACCTGGGTTGCAGCCTTGCCCCGTCCCTTAACTTATGGCAAGACAGACGCAGCCCTCACGCTATGGCGGGTGGACACACTTCCTGGCCGAGTGGCTGCAGGGATGTCCTCAGGTTGTGCCTCCTCCTCCCATCTGGTAAACAGAGGCAGCACCACTGCTGCTCTGTTTAGTTAGGCAGCTACCTCACCAGGAAGTTAGGAGAATGAATGCTACTTTTAGGAAGCAGAGGAAAAAAGTAAAAGCTACACACAAATGCCAAGAGCTGCTCTACCACAGTCCTCAGTCCAGGCAGCCCCTGGGTGTCTCGTCCCAGCTCTCATGACATCACACTTGGCCCAGCCGAGCCCTGGGCTGGGGAGGAAAAGAACAAAATATTCTCCATCTGCTATGAGCCAAAAGCCTTGGACGCAAATGGGTTCTAAAAGGGATGGGGACACAGGGCAGCTGGCAAGGGGCTGACTAGGGAACACGAGCAGACTCACCCTGCCCCTCTCCACTGGACCACCTTCAAACCTCTGCAGCCACCAAGGCCCGTCCCAGCCCACATCAGCCTCCTCTGGGGCCACAAGTACAGGCAGACGGGAGACTTGACTTCTATCCCACTCTACCACCAACTTCCAAGTGACCAGGCTAGTTCCTCTCCCCCTCCCTCTCAGGCTCTCCATTTTCTCATCTGCAAAGCGGTCCCTGTCCCTGTGCTCCTGCAGTTCTAGGCTCTCTGTTGTTTAGGCTGGACACGAGACTAGTTCCAGCCAATGGAAGGTGAACAGAGTGACGAGTGTCACCTCTGGCTGGAGGTGGTTAAATATACAGAGTGCCTTCGCACATTCCCTGCTGCTAGGTGTCAGATGGGCGAGGCTTGAAGCCAGAGCCACACGTCGGAACCTGCGCTGCACTGGGCCCTGGGACGCAGGCAAGAAAGCGACTTCTTGGCGCACGCCTGTAGTCACAGCTACTCAGGAGGCTGAGGCAGGAGAATTGTTCCAACCCACGAGACAGAGGTTGCAGTGAGCCAAGATCGCACCACTGTACTCCAGCCTGGGTGACAGAGTGAGACTCTGTCTCAAAAAACAAACAAACAAACAAGAAGTAGACTTCTATCGAGGGAAGCCTCTGAGAACAGAGGGCTTACCTACTACTGCAGTGCAGCCTGGCCTAGCCTAGCCTAACCCACACTCTGTTCAGCCAGGAACCTTTCTGGACCTTTCTAGAGGCCCCTTGCCAGGCTTGGGTACCTGGTGGCATGTGATGAGCAGGGCCGTCCACACGAAGAAGCCAGAGATGGCCTGAGCGGCAGTTGTCATCAGGAACACAGGCTGCTCCATGGCAGTGGGGCTGCCCTCGGGGATCACGGAGACGCTGGGCGAGGCTGCTGCGGTCGTGGGCGACGCTGGATCCGGGGCCAGCACATCCCCCCTCACTGTCATGGTGCCTGGCAGCAGGAGGCTCCCTGAGGGAAACCTTTGCAGAAAGTGACAAGCTAGCCTAGAGAGAAGAAATTGCAATGTGAGTCTCCTCCCAGGGCAAGTGGCAGCATTGGAAAGAATCTTCCAGGTCTCTCCACCCACCTCCTGACCATGTCTGTATTGACCCCAACCATCACCCTGTCCCAGCCAGCCTCTCCCCTGGATTGATGCAACAGGCCCCTGACCAGTTTCTCTGCTTCTGCCCCTGCCTCTAATGACCAGTCCCCACTCAGCATGTTTGTGAGTCTTCCAAGGATTAGCCAGACCAGGCCGCCACTGCTCAAAACTCTCCAATAGCTCCCAGCTCCCCTAGAGTAAAAACCATAGTCCGTACCCAAGGACTCGATGGGACCTCCTGTCCTCTATGATCTCAGCTCCTACAGTTCCCACTTCCATCCTCAGCTGCAGCCACGCTGGCCTCTTTGCTGTTCCTTGAACATATTAAGCCTGCTTCTGCCACAGGGCCTTTGCACTGGCTGTCTCTGCTCAGTCAAATACCTCCCTCCCACCCTTCCTTTAGGTCTCTACCTTGACCACCATGAAAACATGTCAGCCTCTCCCAGGCTGGGCATGCCTGACTCCCTGCTTTCCTTTCTTTTCCTCCAGAGCACTCATTACATCGACACCACCCGACTAACTCGATTCACTCATGTATTTATTAACTGTTCCCCCCACCCCACCTAGAATGCAGGCCCCCTGGGGACAGCGGCTCTGTTTGGGACTATACAGGCAGCACTGGGAACCGTGGACACACAACAGAAATTCGGGAGCTTCCTGGTGGGCCTGAACATCTTTATACCCTGGAGCCAGTAAAACCACTTTACTGCTGAGGCCTCCTCCGAGGGCCTGTGTGCGTTCTTCGCCATTTCTCCCCCTTTCCTTAATGGCTGACCCACTCCCCATCATCCAGCTGTGCTGTTTTGGAGACTCTGTGGCTCCTCCCCAATCTGTGTACCTCTAAACTCTCATCTTTTAACCCAGCCCATGTGCCACCCCTCCTGAAAGCCTGCCTGCACACCTTCTCCAGTTCTGAGACTTCTAGCCATTCCGCATCCTCGAACACGCGGGTCTGTCACCACTCACATGTTCATCCTCCTGCCTACTCTTTGAGGCAAGATCTCACACCCCCAGCCCACTTACAATACTTAACTTGATTATTATTATTTTGACACAGGGTCTCGCTCTGTTGCCCAGGCTAGAGTGCAATGGTGCAATCTCGGCTCCCTGCGGCTTCCGCCTCCCGGGCTCAAGAATCCTCCTGCCTTAGCCTCCTGAGTAGCTGGGATTACAGGCGTGCGTCATCAAGCCTGGCTAATTTTCTAATTTTTTGTAGAGATGGGGGTCTCCCTATGCTGCCCAGGTTGGTCTTGAACTCCTGGCCTCAAGCAATTCTCCTGTCTCATCCTCCCAAAATGCTGGGATTATAGGCGTGAGTCACTGTGCCTGGCCTATCTACTGATTTTCACTGCTTGTTTCCAAAGATCGTGAGGTGCCTCACAGTGAAACAAAGAATAGTGGGTGGGGCCCTCATGAATGAGATTAGTGCCCTCATAAAAGGAACCCCAGAGAGCTGCCATGCCCCTTCTACCACATGAGGACACAGGGAGAAGGCACCGTCTCTGAGCCAAAAAGTGAGCCTTCTCCACACACTGAATCTGCCAGCACCTTGATCTTGGACTTCCCAGCCTCCAGAACTGTGAGGAAGGAGGCAGTCGATTTATGGGATTTTGTCATAGTGGCTCAAGAAGACTAAGGCAGGAGCCTGGCTGCACCCTCTACCCAAGCCCTGATGGGGCGGCCCTTTCAGTACAGCCACCTGCTGACAGGCTGGTCAGTGCCATCCAGCAAACACCTCTGCCCAAATCACCAACTCTGGCAATAACCTGCAATGCAACCAGAGAAACACCCGACAATTTTAAAAGATGCAAAGTGCAGTATGTAGGCACTGAGGAAAGAGCCTGGCTGGAGCGTGAGCACCAGCTCCCCCGCCAACCAGCCACGTGGGTTCCCTGCTCCAAAAATGAGCTCAGAGAATGAGCGAACACCAACCCCGACCGTCTCGGTCTGAACCCAGAGGTCAACCTAGATGATCTCATGGTCCCTTCCAAATTCGCAAGCTGGTATTCAAGTCAGAATATCCTGACACCAACGGAGGTTTCCCTGGGCCTTCCTGGGTGCGGCGGCCTGCAGCCTGGCCCCGCGATGCAGAGGATCCTGCGCCCGCTGTCTGTCTGCACTGCCCGCCTGCACCCCGGCTCCTCGCCAACGGCCGCAGCATCTCCGCCACCATGTCGGCTCTTAGCTGTAAGTGTGCACCCTAGGAGAGCCCTGTACATTTCTATTTTCCCACATATACATGATCTCTTAACACACCAATTGAGACACAAATCGAGACTAAAACTCAAAACTGGAGAAGGCGTCTATATAAAGAAATTCAAAAATGGAGAAGGTGTCTATATAAAGACTGGTGGCAAGCTTTGAAAAAGAGACACAGTGACAAGTCCAAGAATAGCTCCTGTAAGTATGGTTGCAAAACTGAAAACCAGTGCCAGAAATATTTCTTGAAAAAGACTGGGGTTGTAAATCATCATCTTTGTCTATCATCCCAAATTAAATGAATAAACATGGGGAATTGTGGGGGGACCAAAGGAAGTACAAATACGCTCAAATCTTCACCTTCCAAGCAAGGTGTGGGGGGATGTCGAAGGCTGTTTTGTTCATGACTAAGGGCGGTGTTGAGAAACCCCCAGCTTGGACTCCCAGGCAGAGGGGCAACCCCAGAGAGCAGACCCGAGCCAGGGCTGGGATGTGGGTGAAGGCTACAGGCCAGCTTCCTCCTGCGGCTCTGCCCACTCACGTGCCCATGCCCACTTGGCATTCAGGGCCCCTTCACGTTCTTCATATAGGTCGTTTATTTCACAAGAGGAAATGCACCCAGAGATGTGAGTGACTTACCCCCAAATCAGAGCCAGGACTCAAGGCCAGGTCCTATCAACACGTTGTCTCCTCACCTCCTACAAAGTGGGGGGACCTAGCTGAGCCACCCCTCCTGCTCCAGAGCCTCCTAACAAGACATGGCCATACCCTTCCTCCCATAGCCTCCAGACTCTTCTAGCAGGAGGGGAGGCAGGTCCCCCAGGGTGGAGGAGAAGCCACCATGGCTGGGAGTGTTTCCGCAGCCCAACCCATGCTGGCCACGTTTCTGCACCGAGGCCAATTCATAAACAACTTATTTTACTCTTGGGCAACCCCGGTGGTTTACAAAGCATTTCCCCAAACATTATCTCATGTATTTTCTCAAGGCAACTTTGAAGAAAGTAACATTATCTCCATCTTAGAGATGAGGAAAACGATGCAGAACTTGGTTTTACAGCCACCCAGGGTGGCAACAATTCAAGGGTTTTCATAATTCCCCAAAATACTTAAAGCCGTATTCTGGCTCATAGACGCATGGTCCCCAATACCCAAGAAAGCAGGTGCAGGCAGCTGCTTGAAGGCCCAGAGCTCGCCTTGCTCCCTGGACCCAAGGCAGCAGACGGAGGCTGTCAAACGTACTCCCAAGTCAGTGACCACAAGGCCAGACTCTGCAAACTGTTCACAGTGTGTTGGGGCTGGGGCAGGGTGGGCACTGGATTCTGACCCTTTCACACTCTGTACAGGCACTGACCGGGAAGCTGCCTGCCCAGGTCCCACAGGCAAGCAGGACGTTCACCTGGCACAGCCTGTGGACCTTGGGGAAGCAGGGGCAATGCCATCTGGTGCAGCCTCTTTACTCCCGTGGGGAAAGGGGTGGGGAAGGGCTCCATCCATGTCTCCCCTTTTCCAATGCAGTCCATGCAAACAGATGAGGCTCAGAATTCCAGCTGCTCTGGCAGGACCAGATCCAGATGATGCTGTTTTTTTTTTTTTTTGAGACAAGAGTCTTGCTCTGTTGCTCAGGCTGCAGTGCAATGACATGATCACAGCTCACTGCAGCCTTGACCTCCCTAGGCCCGAGTGATCCTCCCACCTCAGTCTCCCAAGCAGCTGGGACCACAGGCATGTGCCACCATGTCCAACAAATTTTTTTTTTTTTTTGAGACAGAGCTTCACTCTGTTGCCCAGACTGGAGTGCAGTAGCATGACCTTAGCTCATTACAACTTCTGCCTCCTGGGGTCAAGCCATCCTCCCACCTCAGCCTCCCAAGTAGCTGGGACTACAGGCATGAGCCACCATGCCCAGCTAATTTTTGTATTTTTTTGGAGAGATGGGGTTTTACCATGTTACTCACGCTGGTCTCGAGCTCCTGGGCTCAAGCGATCCTCCCATCTTGGCCTCCCAAAGTGCTGGGATTACAGGCGAGAGCCACCACAACTGTCTCCCATTATTTCCCTAATTGACCAAGTGTTAAACTTCTGCCAGGAACATGACAGAGGGCCCTGATGGAAGATGCTGAAATCATCTTTCTAACAAGTCCTGAGGCCTCTGGACTCCATGCCAGGCACCGGCAGACCCAGCCTCAGCCTTTAAGGTGCTCCAAGCCATTCTTCATGCCTTCTCTATGCCACAGGCAGGAGTGACCTGGAGGCCTCTTCCCCTTGCACTGCTGAGGTGAGTGTCCAGCACTACAGGAGCCTAGAGCAAGCATCGGGCTTGGGCAGGCTGGGGAGGGGGTCAGAGAAGGCTTCCATGTGGTGGGGACATAACCAGGCTTCTGCTGTGAGTCACCCTACAGGACTCCCACTAGACTCCACCACGTGCAACCTGCGCGGGTACTTCTCTCGGAGCCTCAGTTTCTTCATTATAACATTTCAGGGGAATTACATAATTAACAAGGGACAGTTCTAGGTTATAGAAGTCCCATTAATAAATGGAGAAAGGGCCCAGCAAGGTGCCTCACGCCTGTAATCCTAGCACTTTGGGAGGCCGAGCTGGGTGGATCACGAGGTCAGGAGATCGAGACCAACCTGGCTAACATGGTGAAACCCCATCTCTACTAAAAATACAAAAAATTAGCCGGGCCTGGTGGCAGGCGCCTGTAGTCCCAGCTACTGGGGAGGCTGAGGCAGGAGAATGGCGTGAACCCGGGAGGCAGAGCTTGCAGTGAGCCGAGATCGCGCCACTGCACTCCAGCCTGGGTGACAGAGCCAGACGCAGTCTCAAAAACTAGTAAATAAATAAATAAAAATAATAATGGGAGCCGCGGTGGCTCAGGCCGGTTGCCCTGGCACTCGGGGAGGTGAGGCTACACATTCGAGGCTAACCTGATCAACACTGATTAAAAAATAATAATAATAAAACAACATTGGTTGGGTGCGGTGGCGAAGACCTGTAATCTCAGCACTTTGGGAGGCCAAGGTGGGTGGATCACTTGAGGCTAGGAGTTCGAGACCAGCCAGGGCAACATAGCGAAACCCTGTCTCTACTAAAAATACAAAAATTAGCCAGACGTAGTGGCATGTGCCTGTAATCCCCAGCTACTTGGGAGGCTGAGGCGGGAGAATCACTTGAACCTGGGAGGTGGTGGTTGCAGTGAGCTAAGATCACACCACTGCACTCCAGCCTGGGCAACAGAGCAAGACTCCATCTCAAAAATAAATAAATAAATAAATAATAAAAAACCTTAACATAAACCCTTACACATATACAAAAATTAATTCAAAATAAATCACACATTTAAATGTAAAATGTAAAACTCTAAACCTTTTAGAAGACAGGAGAAAATATTTGAAACCTAGAGATGGCCAAGTGTTCTTAGACTTGACACCAAAAGCATGATCCATAAAAGGAAAAAATCGATAAACTGCAATATAAGAAAAGTAAAAACTTATGCACTATGAATAAACAAGCCACAGAGTGGAAGAATATATTTGCAAGTCACAGATCTGGTAAATGACTAGCATTGGGAATGTATGAAGAATGCTCAAAAAGCTCCATGGGCCAGGCGCGGTGGTTCACACCTGTAATCCCAGCACTTTGGGAGGCCAAGGTGGGCGGATCACCTGAGGTCAGGAGTTCGAGATCAGCCTGGCCAACATGGTGAAACCCTGTCTCTACTAAAAATAAAAAAATTAGCCAGGTGTGGTGGCTGGCGCCTGTAATCCCAGCTACTCAGGAGGCTGAGGCAGCAGAATTGCTTGAACCAGGAAGGCAGAGGTTGCAGTGAGCCAAGATCGTGCCATTGCACTCCCGCCCTTAGGGGACAGAGCAAGACTCTTGTCTCCAAAAAAAAAAAAAAAAAGCACCATGGTAAAAAGAAAACCAAACAATCCCACTTGAAAATAGGCAAAATACATGAACAGATATCTCAGTAAAGAAGAGATACACAGCAAATAAGTACATGGCGCAGTGGCTCATGCCTGTAATCCCAAAACTTTGAGGGGCTGAGGCAGGTGGATCACTTGAAGCCAGGAATTCAAGACCAGTCTGGCCAACATGGCGAAACCCTGTCTCTACTAAAAATACAAAAATTAGCCGGGTATGGTGGTACATGTCTGTAATCCCAGCTACTCGGGAGGCTGAGGCAGAACAATCGCTTGAACCCGGGAGGTGGAGCTTGCAGT
Source organism: Homo sapiens (assembly GCF_000001405.40). Lineage (NCBI taxonomy): Eukaryota > Metazoa > Chordata > Mammalia > Primates > Hominidae > Homo > Homo sapiens. The sequence goes on from NC_000022.11 coordinate 38,254,544, forward strand.
GAGCTGAGATCACACCACCGCACTCCAGCCTGGGCGACAGAGCAAGACTCTGTCTCCAAAACAAACAAACAGGCAAACACAACAAAAGTTAAACATCATTAGCCATTAAGGAAATGCAAACTGAAAAACTGAAAACACCTTCACATCCCATACCTGGGTACCAAAAAATATATATCATATACCTATAAAATAAAAAATACTGACAATATCAAATGCTGGCAAGGATGCAGAGAAACCTGATCTCCCACACATTGCTGGTGGGAAGATAAAATGGTGCAGCCACCATGGAAAACAACTTTGGCACTTTCTTTTTTTTTTTTTTTTTTGAGACAGAGCCTTGGTCTGTCGCCCAGGCTGGAGTGCACTGGCACCATCTTGGCTCACTGCAACCTCTACCTCCCGGGTTCAAGCAATTCTCTGCCTCTGTCTCCTGAGTAGCTGGGATTACAGGTGCCCGCCACCATGGCCAGCTAAT